>NC_000004.12:82557744-82709259 GCF_000001405.40 Homo sapiens
TTTTTTTGATATGGAGTCTAGCTCTGTCGCCCAGGCTGGAGTGCAGTGGCACGATCTTGGCTCACTGCAACCTCTGCCTCTCCCGGGACCAAGCGATTCTCCTGTCTCACCCTCCCTGGGATTACAGGTACCTGCCACCATGCGCAGCTAATTTTTTTTTGTATTTTTAGTGGACACAGGGTTTCACTGTATTGGCCGGGCTGGTCTCAAACTCCTGACTTCATGATCCACCCGCCTCAGCCTCCCGAAGTGCTGGGATTACAAGCGTGAGACACTGCACGTGGCCTCACAAGTGGTTTTTCATAGCAATAGGATTATGAAGTCAAATCTCAATTCTGGTATTATCAATGCCAATTGCCACTTTTTTTTTTCTAATTAAAGGATAATTGCCTTTAAATGCTATCTCTCTAGGAAATATGGGGAGAAAATTCAGAACTATACTGTCCAATATGGTAGCCACTAGCCTCATGTGGCTATTTAAATTAATTACGGCTAAATAAAATTTAAAATTCAGTTCCTCAATTACACTAGCCCACATTTCAAGCGTTCAATAGCCACATGTGGCTCATGGTTATCATACTGGACAGATTACAGAACATGTCCATCAATGCAGAAAGTTCTTTTGGACAGCACTGATCTAGAAAAGGCTGTTTATAGATGCCAAAAAGGAAAATATTAATTTCTCACTTAGTAAAAGAGCTTCAAGCCCTACCTACCAAAGCTGGTTTGACTCAGAATAGTTTGGGGCTGAATTTGAAGGCTACTGCCAAAGATTTCACGATTATCTCAAAATATTCTAAATGGCTGATCTAAAATCTCTTTGCATGATGATTGATTTTCCATTGCCACAAGTTGTCTTTCAAAATCTAAACATACCAGAAAAAAAAAAAAATCTAAACATACCAGGAAATGATATTTGGTGATAACAATAACTTAAAGTTCCAATAATTTATGAACAAGTTTTAAAATACTTAGAACAACTATGAAAAAATATAAAGCTACATGGCACCATCAGCTCCAGGAGTAAAAATTTATAGTTAAAATAAGTAGGGGCTGTCAGGCTTCTGAGCCCAAGCTAAGCCATCATATCCCCTGTGACCTGCACGTATACATCCAGATGGCCTGAAGCAACTGAAGATCCACAAAAGTGAAAATAGCCTTAACTGATGACATTCCATCATTGTGATTTGTTTCTTCCCCACCCTAACTGATCAATGTACTTTGTAATCTCCCCCACCCTTAAGAAGGTTCTTTGTAATTTCCCCACCCCTAAAAATGTTCTTTGTTAATTCTCCCCACCCTTGAGAATGTACTTTGTGAGATCCACCCCCTGCCTGCAAAACATTGCTCCTAACTCCACCGCCTATCCCAAAACCTACAAAAACTAATGATAATCCCACCACCCTTTGCTGACTCCTTTTTCGGACTCAGCCCACATGCACCCAGGTGAAATAAACAGCCTTGTTGCTCACACAAAGCCTGTTGGTGGACTCTCTTCACACGGACCCATGTGACAGGGGCTGGGCACAGTGGCTCCTGGCTGTATTCCCAGCACTTTGGGAGGCCGAGGCGGGTGGCTCAATTGAGGTCAAGAATTCAAGACCAGCCTGATCAACATGGTAAAACCCCGTCTCTACTAAAAATACAAAAAAAAAAAAAAATTAGCCAGGCATGCTGGTGGACGCCTGTAATCCCAGCTACTTGGGAGACTGAGGCAGGAGAATCGCTTGAACCCAAGAGGCGGAGGTTGCAGTGAGCTGAGATTGTGCCACTGCACTCCAGCCTGGGCGAGAGAGTGAGACTCCGCCTCAAAAACAAACAAACAAAAAAAGTAGGGACACACTTATTACACACCTGTGTCTAGTCCTACGCTTTTCATGAACTTAGACCTGGATTCAATAACACTTGGACCCTATAATGTTTTGGGAACTTCAGCACACATCTCATTGGACCCTTACCAGAACCTAATCACACCGTAGTGCTGATTCTAAGTGTTACAGATTCTTCTGTGAAAGGGGATGACTGAGAAGTAATACATTATCTTGTCAGTGCTTGTCTTGCTTAATTGGTTACTGAACTGATCCCAAATGGCCAGATTGCAGTGAAACCAAATGGCTGAGATTGCGGGGTCCAGCTAGCTTTTCCTCTCTCATGACTCCAGGCTGCCCTGCTAATCTGACCCACTGTACTAAAGAGGTGTGGGTCACAGGCGAGACAAAGCAGGAAGACAGACAAGAGTGTAAAGCAAAGGGCCTTCTCTCTTGACAATTGCAAAGCAGATAAAGTGAGCCCAAAAACCCCTGCAAGGTCATTGTGAACATGATTGTGGTAGTTCTACAACAAAGGCTAAATAGAACGCATTATTGTGTTCACGCAAAAAAAAAAATTACTCCATAGAGCAAATTATCCCCCCACAAAGCAACATGGAAAAGGTATTTGTAAGAAATGCATGAATTAAGCAATTGCTCTGAAGACTTAAATGCCAATTTAAATAATCCAAACAGATTGCATTCAGCTAATGGCAGATTATAATAAACATGCATTAAAGTGTTTTTCAAATACTTTAATATATTTGTGAATGTCATAACATCTATCAACTAGTCATTATTGTTAGCAAAACTTCTTTACCCTTTTATTTACCATGTCCAGTTTGTGAGCTTCCAACTTGGGGGACTTGCAAAACATTTATTAAATAATGTATAAAGGACACACCATTAAAATTCCTACGCTTATGCCTTGAAGATTAAACTCACATTTCTAGCTCATTAATAGATGACAGCTATAGTTAATCCTGGAAACATGGAGTCTCTAGAACACATACAAGAAAAAGTTTGGGATTTGATACATGAGAGCTGAGACTAAAATTCTTTGATCGGTCACATATATGGGCCTAACAATTTTTCCTTGAAATAGGAAACTTTAAGTAGGTCAGTTTAATGACTGCTACCATGGAGTTTATAAATCCACACTCAACTATCCTTTCGATGAACTGCTGCCCAGAATGGAGTTATAGCCCTGCACTATTAAAATGTCTTTGGTTCAAGCAGAGAAAGATGCAGAAACTGATCCTGCCATTTAGGCTTTGTTATTGTTTTAGATCCAATAACTGTTTGGTTTTGTTTTTCAACATGGCATTGGTATATCTGGTTCCCCAACAGGACCTCGCATGTAGGACATCGGAGTGGGTTCACTCGGGAAGATGGACTTCCATTCTACCTGAGCTATGTTCCCACATGCGGTCACAATCCTGGCCCAACCGTGAAAGGCGGTCTGGCCGGAATAAACCTGACCAAAAAGATCAGTGAAATGTGTGGGACATCATAAAGTGCTGTGGGGGTAGGGGTGGAGGAAAGGAATGAGTAGAGAAAAAAGGAGCATGAATTTAAAATGGGAAAACCCTCTCATACTCCATTTGATTCATTTAAGGAGGGGAAAACCACTCAAGGACTCTCTCCAGAACCCAAAGCTAATCACTTTTTTATTGCAGCAGATTACCAAAGAGCCTAGGTAACCCACCTACCACGGCCTCCCGCCGAAAAACCAAAAATCCCATTTCTTCCCAAGTGTGCGCCCAGGAAAGGAAGGAAGACTGTGCATTTAGAGTGGAGGGCGGTACACAGGGCAAAGCAAGTTAGTGCCTCCTTCCCAGATCCCCTGCTTCCCGAGCCAGCCTGACCTGGCTAACCGCAAAGTGCAGGGAGAATGGCACAGGGACCGGGAGGTCAAACTTGGGGTCGCTTCTCACCCGAGTCCACCCGATAACGAGATGATGGGGCGGCGGGTGGGGACACCTGTCAAAGGACGGGGCCGGGGCCGGGGCCGGGGCCGCAGCGGGCGGGCTGGCTGGCGGCACTGCGGCGGCGGGGACCGAGGCGCGCCGGCTCGGGCGTTCGCAGGTCGCGGGGCAGAGCCGGCACCGACTCCTGGACTTGCCGGGGAGCGTGCGCCCGCGGAGGGCTCGGGCGGGCGGCCCCGCGCCCGGGACGCTATGGGAGGGGGCCGCAGCCGAGCAGGGCCCCGCAGCCGGGCGGACCCAGCCGCCCCAGCCGCGCTGCAGCCCCCGCCGTCCCCGGTCTCCGCCTGCGGGCTGCGCACGGGGCCGGGCCGGACGCCCCCTGGCTGCGCGACGGGCCCAGGCAGGGGAGGGGGCGCCGCGCCTACCTGCTCTGGTGCGGCGGGGCCGCTGTCGCCTCGAGGGGCTGTGACCTGCTGCGGTGGCGGCGGCGGCAGCAGTAGCGGCGGGTAGGGCGCTTCCTTCAGGAAGGGGTGGGATCTGCTCACCCGCCCGCCCGGCCCCCTCCTGCCGCGCCGGGGCCCGCCCCCGACTTATTCTGGGGTCCCCGCTGCTAGGCCTTCGGGGAGAGTTGATCCCCTGGGTCTCGGGCTTCTGCCACCCCCCCGGGGCCCCTAATAGTCACCCGGGGCAGGAGCCGGGTGTGGGCGGGCGAGCCGCTTCCTTCCGAAGCCTTTGTGGACGCGTTTGCCTGGCGCTCCTCATCCAACAAAAGGAAGGACAGAATCTTGGATCCTCCGCCTGGTGGTTATTTATTCCTGACCTGTTGTAACCTTCTGCCTGGCTCTCTTTCGTCCGCACACCTAGGGTTTTTGCACAAAGCAGCTAAAATTCATTTTCATGCCCATTGACTGAATGTAGTTCTCCTCCACTCAGCGCTGTCCCGCGGTTTTTGGTTTTTTTTTTTCCATCCTATTGAACAAACACAGAGCCAACTTCGGACCCTGGCAATGAACAGCAGACACCAAGGCCGACCTCCCAGCGCCAGCTTGCAGCTTTCCTCCCTGGGTCTCGTCTGAGTCCGTCATAAACTGTGTTCATCAGCGTTTTGACAGCTTCCCCCATCCCGGACCCCCAACCTACCATGGGACCCCATGGCACCATGTCAGTGACCTCTAGCAGCAGCATGGATCAATGCCATTTTTATCTTAGGCTCATCATGAGCCTGGGTTCCAAACACAACCTCTCTGGCCTCCAACAGGTGGCTCTCTATCAACCGGCCTTTGTCAGTCTGCCCTCTATTCTTTTGGGGGCTTCCGTAGCACACCTGTCTCCTTTAAACTGCTGTCTCTACACAAGCAGGCATTCCCTTTTTTTCTTTTTCTTTTTCTTTTTCTTTTTCTTTTCTTTTCTTTTCTTTCTTTTTTTTTTTTTTTTTGAGACGGAGTCTTGCTCTGTCGCTCAGGCTGGAGTGCAGTGCCGCAATGTCGGCTCACTGTAACCTCTGCCTCTCGGGTTCAAGCGATTCTCTCGCCTCAGCCTCCTGAGTAGCTGGGATTACAGGCGCCCGCCACCATGCCCGATTAATTTTTGTATTTTCAGTAGAGGCGGGGTTTCACCACGTTGGCCAGGCTGGTCTCAAAACTCCTGGCCTCAAGTGATCCGCCTGCCTCAGCCTCCCAAACTGCTGGGATTACAGGCGTGAACCACCGCGCCCGGCCCAACCAGGTGTTTCTAAGAATCTTCTCCAATTCAGCATATTCAAATTCTGCAATTAACGTTCGGTTCCAGAACTCTCCCTTCCCCACAATTCTTGTGATTATTGTCTACTATGTGTATATTGATTCTTTTTTTTTTTCTGTATGTTGATTTCTTGTTACTGTTTTCTCCTGGCTACTAGACTGTAAGCTTCCTGAGACCAGGGATCTTGCCTTCTCTTGTTTTCCTTATTTTAATGAGTGGGACTGTTATCCATTCAATTAAAATAGCAAAAGCAAAAACTGAATCTTAGTCTAGACTCCCTTGAAAGTATATGCTCAATTTTGTGGGAATTAGCTTATGTGTACTTTTCTGAGGAGAGTAACTACACATTAATCAGACCCTCAAAGTGGTCTGACTCCCCCAAAGGTAAGATTGCTTGAGGCCCATCCATGAACCCCTCCTCTCTCTACTCCCTGTCCCCATGCCATTCATTTCTCTCTGCAATAACGGAAAGAGTCCTCTAGCTAGATCTTCCAATTCATTCTTTCAGAAGTAGATCCAGCCAAAGAATTAGCTGTCCCTCAAACACAGAAGTGGTACTCTGTTTTCACATCAGAATCACCAGTGGGGGCTTTAGAAAATGATGCCTGGGTTCACCTCAGACCCAGAGTCAAAACCTGATTGGAGGTGGCGGGGGAAACCAGAACACAGGTATTTTGACAAAGAACCGCAGGTGATTCCGACATGGCCATGCCATATCACTCCCTTTCTTGGGAATAGGGCTCCCAATTTGTAAAATGCCCTTACTTTCCCCTCCCCCATTTTTTTGTGGAAGGATTGAGAATCCATGCACCAGGTTTAATTTATTTCAACATTTTCATTTTCATTTAGAGCCAGGCCTATGTTTCCTAAAAAAAACCAACTTGAGTTTGTGAGGATCGCAGGCTCAGTGCCATTCCTCAGCACCACTAAATCACCGCCGCCTTCATCTCCAAAATGTCCCTCCAAATAAACCCAAAAAGCAAAATGAATTACATTCCTGACAGTGATATTACCAGCTGAAATTGTGTGTTAAAATGCTGGCCATGAAGGAGAGTTGGTTGCTATAAGCAGATTCTGTTAATGTCATGAGAGTTCGAGCGAAGCTTCGAGAGTACAAGCAAAACATGGGCTTCTCTGTGCCTTTTTCTTGGTATCCCATCTGTTAAAATTTGTTGTCCACCATGTACTCAATATACCCTTAGATATTTTAAATCATATATGGGTGTAAGACTGAAATACTTTTCCAGAACCGGTTGTCCTTTTTTCTTTTGAGTATTTTTTGGGGGATGAATTTTAAATGAATCTCTGAAGGCTTCCAGCCAGCACTTGCTTCTACCTCACAAAGACCATTAAAGGCCCCAAGGCAGCTTGGTCCTGAGTATTTGGGGAGTGAGAGTGAGGAATTGTTGTGTTGATGAGGCAAGCACATATTTGTGAGGATCTTCCTACATCCTCTTCTTATTCCTTTTTTTTTTTCTTTTTTTTTTTGAGGTGGAGTCTCGCTCTGTCGCCCAGGCTGGAGTGCAGTGGTGCGATTTCGGCTCACTGCAACCTCCGCCTCCCGGGTCCATGCCATTCTCCTGCCTCAGCCTCCCGAGTAACTGGGACTACAGGTGCCCGCCACCACGCCTGGCTAATTTTTTTTGTATTTTTAGTAGAGACGAGGTTTCACTATGTTAGTCAGGATGGTCTCGATCTCCTGACCTCGTGATCTGCCTGCCTCGGCCTCCCGAAGTGCTGGAATTACAGGCGTGAGTCACCGCACCCGGCCTCTTACTCCTTTTTATAGGAAGCTAGCTCTCGGAGTATGTGCTATGCCTTGGCATCACTTGGGAGGTTGTCACATTGGTCCATTATAAAATGTGACATTGAATAAAGGTTCTGTCCCACTTCTGCCTCCAATTCAAAGGCCATCTCTGGAATGGCCATTGGCAGTGAAGGATTTAGGTTCTCTGTCTAACATCTGCAGCACTCCCCCTGTTCCCAAGAACTCCTACACCACTGAGCTTGGTTCTGCCCTCTCATATGTGAACTCTCTTCCTCTTATTCTCAGAACTCTCATGTGTGTCCTACTGATGGTAAGGAGTTTGATCACAACTGGCTGTCTTTTTAAAAATTGCATACAAATATTCATTTTGTACCTTTAAATGATCTGTTGATATGTTCCAAAGTGATTCAGTCTGTGAGGAAAGACCAAGCACAGAGTTAGAGACTGGGGCATGGAAGAAATAGAGCGTAAGGCCCAGAAAGAGATGCCAGCCACAAACTTTGTAAAATTTTGTGTCAAATGGAGATCCATACTCAGAGACATCAACATTCTACAGAACCACAACGAGGCATCCTAATTTCAACACCATGTTGTTCTACAAGGCTGATGTCCTAACTCTGGTGCACAGCACAAACATCCATCTATCTGAGTTGGGGGGCGGTTTCCTGATATAAATGAATTTATTATCTAACTGAAACCACTACAGAACATTTAGAATTACAAAGAAATTTTATATTCTTGCTCATTTTCTTTCTCTTGGGCAGTCAATTTGTTTTTGTTATTTTATGATTCAAATCACTTCCCTAATTCATTTGAAAAAACAGAATTGAGAAGCACAGCTCATAAATAACGCTCTCAGGGATTCTGGAAATCCCTGCTGCTGGTCCAATTGCAATGACTTTCATTATAATAAAAATCTCTGTATAACGAAGTTATTGCCAAACCTTATCCAACAACTGGTAATCCAAGTAGTCTCTGATAAACAACAAAATCAGCTGGGCGCAGTGGCTCACACCTGTAATCCCAGCGCTTTGGGAGGCTGAGGCGGGCGGATCATGAGATCAGGAGATGGAGACCATCCTGGCCAACATGGTGAAACCCTGTCTCTACTAAAAATACAAAAAATTAGCTGGGTGTGATGGTGCATGCCTGTAATCCCAGCTACTCAGGAGGCTGAGGCAGGAGAATTCTTGAACCAGGGAGTCAGAGGTTGCAGTGAGCCGAGATCTCACCACTGTACTCCAGCCTGGGGACAGAGCGAGACTCCATCTAAAAAAAAAAAAAAATCAAAGAAAGTCATTGGAATGGCATTTTATTGTTATCAAAACTGCCTATTAAAGATAACCTTGTTAGGGCAATTGGAACGATAGTGAGAGTACATCTGGTCACGGGATGTTAAATGGAAGCCTTTATTTTATTCCCATTTTTAGAGAGGCCTCAGATAATAGTTGTCAACCACACTCACATGCCAAACAAAGTTCTGTACTACTATGCAGAATTTGCAAAGGAGTGTTCCTGAATTTCTCATTTACCCTGTCATGTCATAGGTATTCTAAGAGGCCCTTTCTCTGCACTTAACAGGGAGGGGAAGGGGCTTTTCTCTCACCTTAAGTCTAGTGAGAAAGACTTCAGGAAGACCTCTTGGAGAGCTCCGTGGATGTCCCCTGCAGTTTAGGGAATACCATGGACTGGTGCCTGGCTCATGCCTGAGAAACCTAAAGGACCAGAGTTAGTAAAAGTGGCCTGAATATCAGGTAGGGACTGTGGCTGGGGAAGTAATTTACTCTCACGGAAGACAAGTCTAAGAGAGTGACACACAGCAGGATTGACCTTGATTGTACCCAAGAGGATTGCTTGCAAAGGCAGAAGTCTCTGCAGAAAGAGGCCAGAGGTTTGCCTCCAAATGTGCAGGGTCTAGGGCAAGACTCTAAAGCGATGAGGCAGAGGCAAAATGAACCTGCTCATGCCAAGGGGATGACTGGGTGGTGAGAAGCTCCCCAGCAGGGTGGCTGTGGTAAGCGATGTCCAACAAACCCATCACAGGGATCATAAGAGAAAGCATCAGCTGGAAACATCTGCCATGGCCAGAGGTAGCCATGGTAGTGAGAGCCATCCAACACCTTTCCGGCTCCTCAGCTCTCTCTTCCCCTTTTCCGTCTTGGAGGAACCGGGTAGCCAGTGAGAGTAGAAAGAGGTGGAAGCACTAGGCTGGAAGGAAAACACAGGAAGCCTACCATTACCCACCTTTTCCCGCTGAAGTGTGGAATTTTTAAGATTATTTTACTGTACTACATATTTTTAAAAAAACTTTTAGGTTCAGGAGTACATGTGCAGGTTTGTTATACAGGTAAACAGCATGTCACAGGGGTTTGGTGTACAGATTATTTTGTCACCCAGGTAAACGCATAGTATTCAATAGGGATTTTTTCAATCCTGTCCCTCCTCCCACCTGCCAGCCTCAAGTAGGCTCCATGTCTGTTGTTCACTTCTTTCTGTCTATGTGTACTCAATGTTTAGCTCACACTTCTAAGCGAGAATATGCGGTGTCTGGTTTTCTGTTCTTGCATTAATTTGTTTAGGATTGTGGCCTCCAGCTCCAGCTATGTTGCTGCAAAGGATATGATCTCATTCTTTTTTATGGCTGCATAATATTCCATGGTGTATATGTACCGTATTTTCTTTATCCAGTCTATTTTTTTTTTTTTTTTTTTGAAACATAGTTTCACTCTGTCGCCCAGGCTGGAGTGCAGCTCACTCCACTACCTCCGCCTCCTGGGTTCAAGCAATTCCCCTGCCTCAGCCTCCTGAGTTTCTGGGATTACAGGCGTTCGCCACTACACCCAGCTAATTTTTTTGTGCTGTTAGTAGAGACAGGGTTTCGCCACATTGGTCAGGCTGGTCTCGAACTCCTGAGCTCAAGTGATCCGCTCACCTCAGCCTCCCAAAGTGCTGGGATTACAGGCATGAGCCACCGCGCCCATTCCAGTCTACTGTTGATGGGCATTTAGGTTGATTCCCTGACTTTGCTATTGTGAATAGTGCTCCAATGAACATACAGGTCCATGTGTTTTTATGGTAGAATGATTTATATTCCTTTGGGTATAAACCTAAAAATGGATTTCTGGGTCAAATTGTACTATGTATATATATTTGTGTGTGCGTGTGTGTGTGTGTGTGTGTGTGTGTGTGTGTGTTTGAGAGAGAGAGAGAGAGACTTGCTTTATTGAAATATTCTCCTTATTATAGTAGTTTGGAATCGAACCTATAATGTCTCCAAGGTAATGCCTGTATCTTATCTCTTCTAACAACTTTTTTTTTTTTTTTTTTTGAGACGGAGTCTCGCTCTATCACCCAGGCTGGAGTGCAGTGGCGCAATCTCGGTTCACCGCAACCTCTGCCTCCCAGTTCAAGTGATCCTCCCACCTCAGCCCCCCAAATAGCTGGGATCACAGGTGTGCGCCACCATGCCCAGTTAATTTTTAATATTTTTGGTAGAGATGGGGTTTCACCATGTTGGCCAGGCTGGTCTCAAACTCCTGACTTCAAGTGATCCACACACTTTGACCTCCCAAAGTGTTGGGGTTACAGGCATGAGCCACCACGCCCGACCTGTATGATGCATATTAATTACTGAAATGAGAGTGTATTTTTGGCTAAAAGTAATCAGAGGCCTTTTAATTATTTGAGAGTAACCTAAAATGTCATAGGGCCTGTGTATTCAGTCATCTGAGGGGCAGGAAAACTGGCCCCACAGAGCAGATTTAACGGAAGAAAATAAAGCTGCATTCTGAATGTACCCATGAGCCCAGCTGGGTCAGCATATCAGCTATCCATTCAAATACAATGCACTCCATATTATATCTTAAAATCTCTGAGGATGTCTCATTCTGACATCTTACCTGAATTATTAGCATGTCATATGTGTCAAGAAATTCCCTTTGTATGTATATAAATTATAGTTTAAGCTTCCCAACAAGTACGTTAGAAATAAGGATACTGGATTAAAAGAGCCAGGAATCTAAATGTTGCTTAGCCTTCTATTAAATAAGTGTCTGTAAATAACTGTCTGTAAATAACTGTAAATAAGCTGTAGTTTCCTCTTCTTAAAGGGCCTGCATAAGATGATTGCCAAGGCCTCTTTCAGCAAGAAAATTCTATTTGGAAAGGCTACAGTACACCACAGATCAAGGACCAAGTTTTCAGACTGCTCCACAGGTGAGCAGCCGTCAGACCAGCATATCTGGCGTGAGATCGCTGCAATGGTTTGGAGTGATAAGCAAGAACTATTTCCAAAATGAGGTACTGACAAGCACAGTGGTGCCTTCCTTTGAAGGTGACATGTTACCTTGGTGACAGTTTCCATATTATGCACTTGGCAATTGTGATCTGGGAATTCCCGAGCATTTTCCTGTATTCTCTGGAGTCCTGTATCACTCCTGCCATCCTCCTCCAGTGAGAAACAGAGTTGCAAAGCCATCTGCGACTGGTGTTCAGAGGGAGAGCCACAAATGAAAACCAGATCCTATGTTCTGAAATTCACTGAAATTTTCCCTATTTTACTCCATTTTCCCTATTTTAACTAGGAGATTCTTGTCTGCTACAAGAGAATAAGCCAAAAGAGTGGGCAATTTTGATTTTAATCAGTCCCCTCTTTGGACTTTTTGCCAACATGCATTAAGCTTAGGGAAGTCATCCATTCTCTATTGATTTAAAAAAACCTTCTAAATTAGAGAGCTAATGACTAATCATTTTATGGTATCATATCCTTTTCGCCACAAACGGCTGTTTTTGAGGACTTTTAGTAATTCTTATTCAGTTTTTTAAAGTTCTAACCAAGTGATGTTTCTTCAGCCTGATTGTTTTATTGTCCCACTCTGCTGTCTGCCACCCAACTGCCCAGTCTTTACCCTGAGACCTTGCTATGATCCAGCAACTAAAGAGTTAACAGGAAACGGAGAAGGAGGCCTCCTAGATCTGCTGAGGTGGGTAGCCAGTGTCTGACAGGCTGGTGTCCTTTCTGCACTGATTGTTACATATTTTAAATGTCATCCCTGATTGGGGTCTCTTGGAAAATATTCTCAACTTCTCTCCAAAAAGTATCTTTTTATCATCTCTCTTTCTCTCTCCACCCTCTTAGAAGTTAAAGGTCTCCAACTTTGTTTCCAAGCCAAACTCTATCAGCTGTTATCTTTATTCTGCCCTCCCCTAATACTCTCTCTTTTGGTACCTGATCCCTCCCTCTCAAGTGGTCATTCCTCTTAGCCTACAAACATATGCGTATTTCCTCCATCCTAAAAACACCTTCCATAGATCCTGCCTTCTTAGTCAAGCTCCAATTTCATCACTTCCCTTCCCTTCGATGAGAAAATTCTCAAAAGTTGCCACCTCCCCTTTACTTCCAGTCCTTGCTTTACTTTCAGCCCCCACTAATCTTTCAATTCCACACCTCCTCTGTCAAAAATGCTCCTTGTAGCTTTACAGTGAATGACTCTTTGGTCACTGAGTTCCACTAACTGCTGCAGAGACTCCTGGTTGTCCTCCTCAAAACTCACCCATCCTTTTGTTCCTGGGATGTCATTGCAATCTCCTGGATTTCCTTCTTCCTCTCCGACTGCTCCTCACATATTCCTTCACAGGAAGCTCCTCTTGTGCAGAAGTGGTCCTCAACATCCTACGCCTGATCCTATCTCTTCTAACAGTGGTCTGGCCCTATGTCTAATGGTATCTCTTTGCAAACCACTCATCCATCCTGTGTCTTCATGTGATCAGCCAGCCAGTACCTCCAGTTCAAAACCACACTCTAGGAAGCCTCCTTATTCATAGATCAGCCTGAAATCTGGGAGTTAGCAAGAACTCTTTTTCTCTTCAAAAGATCTCATCTTCATTCAGGAATTAAGTCCTATTTCTTAATTCTACTTTTACAACATCCTGGGAATCTGTCTTCTTTTTGTTTCTACTCTTTTAGGGCAAGTCCTGGTCACCTTTATTATGCTTGATTGCCCTACTTCTTCCCTCAGCCTCCACTCTCTCCCCTGCTCCAATCTCCCTTTCTTACTGTCCCCACTCTCTTTTTCAATGATTTGATTTTCTTTCTTTATTTCACCTTTAAAAAATATATGTCCTACATGCCCAATTAAAAAGTGAAACTGAGAAGCTAAGCAGTGAGGAGAACAGCAACCCAGACCTCTCTGGAGTTGAGAATGATGATGCCGTCAGTATAGAAAGTGTTACAAACACTGAGGCCCGGCGCGGTGGCTCATGCCTGTAATCCCAGCACTTTGGGAGGCCGAGACGGGCGGATCACGAGGTCAGGAGATCGAGACTATCCTGGCTAACACGGTGAAACCCCGTCTCTACTAAAAATACAAAAAATTAACCAGGCGTGGTGGCGGGCGCCTGTAGTCCCAGCTACTCGGGAGGCAGAGGCAGGAGAATGGCGTGAACCCGGGAGGCGGAGCTTGTAGTGAGCCAAGATCGCGCCACTGCACTCCAGCCTGGGGGACAGAGCGAGACTCCGTCTCAAAAAAAAAAAAAAAGAAAGTGTTACAAACACTGAATGCTCTGATATACCTACAAACACGCCAAAGACACCTGAAAGGAAAAGTTGAGGAAAGGGAAAATGGAAGTCAAAGAAATGCAAATATTCTTTCTAATGTATAAACAGTCTCGAGGAAGATCATAACCAACCATTGTTTGGAGTTCAGTTTAACTGGCACAGTAAAAAAGGAGATCCATTAGTGTTTGCAACTGTAGGAAGCAACAGAGTTAGCTTGTATGAATGTCATTCACAGGGAGAAATCCGGTTGCTGCAATCTTACATGGATTCTGGTGGATCCTTTCCTGGGTTTTTAATATCTTTGGTCAAAGGAATTTATTTTCAACAAGTATACCAAAACTTTTATAAATTAATCAACTCCCTAAAGTTTTTTTCTAAAAAAAGTGAAAAGGCCAGGCGTGGTGGCTTACACCTGTAATCCCAGCACTTTGGAAGGCCGAGGCAGGTGGATCACTTGAGATCAGGAGTTCGAGACCAGCCTGGCCAACATGGTGAAACCGCGTCTCTACTAAAAACTACAAAAATAATCCGGGCATGGTGGCACGTGCCTGTAATCCCAGCTACTCAGGAGGCTGAGGCGTGAGAATCACTTCAACCCAGGAAGCGGAGTTTGCAGGAAGCGGAGATGCCCCGGGTGACAGAGACTCCGTCTCAAAAAAAAAAGTGAAAAAAATCCAAATATGTCTAATAAAAAGTTAATAATCTCCCCTTGTCTCCAACCCCTTCTTTCCTACCTCCAGTATGAACAGTCTGGTATGCATCCTTTGAAAATTTGTTCATGTACATACATATATTCACATTTTAAAACAAAAAGTGGGATTATGATATGTATATTACTATAGAACTCTCTATTCTGACTTAAAAGTATACCATGGACATCTCTCCAAGTCAATAGATAGAAATTTAGCTCATTTATTTTTTAAAAATCACAGCTTTATTAAGATATAATTCATACACCATACAACATATCCATTTAATGGTGTATTCAATGATTTTTGGTAGATGTACACAGTTGGGCAGTTATGACCCCAATCAATTTTAGAACATTTTCATTGCCTCAAAAAGAAATTCTATACCTATTATCAGTCCTATTATTCTATACCTATTATTTCCCACTTCCCCCCAAAGTAGATTAATGGTTGCAAGGGACAACCACTAAACTAATTTTTGTCTCCATGGATTTTCCCATTCTTAATATTTCATATAAATAGAATTGTATGATATATGATCTTTTGTTTCTGGATTCTTTAACTTATTCATCCACATTGTAGCATGCATCAGTACTTAATTGCTTTTTTGCCAAATAGTAGAGTCTATTGAAAGAATGTACTACATTTTTTTTATCCATTCATCTGTTGGTAGACATGTGGGTTGTTTCCATCATTTGACTATTAGAAATAATGCTGCTGTGAACATTCATGTACATGTTTTCATGTGGATATACGTTTTCATTCCTTTTGGTTATATATAGTAGTGAAATTTTTGGGTCATTCAATAACCCTATATTTAACCTTTTGAAGAACTGCCAAAGAACAAAGTCAGAGAATGTCTTAGTCCGTTTTGTGCTGCTATAACAGAACAGCACAGACTGGGTATTCTGTGAACAGAAATGTATTGGCTCACTGTCCTGGAGGCTCCATTTTACATTAACATCAGCAGTGTATGAGAATTTCTATTTCTCCATATAGTTGCCAACAATTGTTATTGTCCATTAAGTCTTTTTAAAATTATAGCCATCCTAATGAGTGAAGTGGTATCTCATTGTGGTTTTGATTTCCACTTTCCTGAGGGCTATGATATTGAACACCTTTTCATGTGCTTACTGGCCATTCATATATCTTCTTTGAGGAAATGTTTACTCAGATCTTTTGCCCATTTTTAATTTAGTTATCTTTTGACTATTGAGTTGTGATGGTTCTTCATACAAGTCTCTTATCAAATATATGACAACCTGGCCGGGCAAGGTAGCTCATGCCTGTAATCCCAGCACTTTAGGAGGCAGAGGCAGGCGGATCATGAGGTCAGGAGATCGAGACCATCCTGGCTAACACGGTGAAACCCCGTCTCTACTAAAAATACAAAAAATTAGCTGGGCATGTGGCAGGCGCCTATAGTCCCAGCTACTGGGGAGGCTGAGGCAGGAGAATTGCTTGAACCCGGGAAGCAGAGGTTGCAGTGAGCCAAGATCACACCACTGCACTCCAGCCTGGGCAACAGAGCGAGAAGCTGACTCAAAAAAAAAAAAAAAAAAAAAAAAAAAAAAAAATATATATATATATATATATATATATATATATATATATATATATATATATATATATGTGACAACCTATTATTCTGGTTGTCTTTTCACTTTTATAATGATATCCTTTGAAGCACAAAAGTTTTTTATTTTGATGAAGTCCAAATTAGCTACATTTTTTCTTCTGTTGCTTATGTCTTTGGTGTCATGTCTGAGAAGACTTTGCCTAACCCAAGGCTGCCAGATTTACTCCTATACTTTCTTCCAAGAGTTTTATAGTTTTAACTCTTACATTTAGGCCTTTGATCCATTTTGAGTTATTTTCTGTGTAGGACATGAGGAAAGGGTCCAACTTTATTCTTTTGCATGGACTTATCCAGTTGGCTTAGCACCATTTGTTGAAAAGATTTTCCTTTCCCCTTTGGACTGTCTTGGCACCCTTGTTGAAAATCAATTGACCATAAATGTGAAGGTTTGTTTCTGGACTCTCAATTCTATTCTGTGATTTATCTGTCTACCTTATGCCAGCACCACACTGCCTTGATTAATGTAGTAAGTTTTAAAATTAGGAGGTCTGCGTCCTTCACTATGGTTTGAATGTGTCCCTGAAAGAGCTTGTATTAGAAACCTAATTCCCCAACCCAACAGTGTGGAGGTGGGGCCTAATGGGAGGTGATTAGGCTATAAGGGCTCTGCCCCTCTTGCTCTCCTGCCCACATGCATTTTTCTCTCTTGCTTTCTTTTGAACTCTTTTTCTCTCCCATCTTTTTGCTCCTCTTGCCCTCTCTTTGCCCTTCTGCCATGGGATGATGCAACAAGAAGGCCCTTGTCAGATACTGGCTCCTTTATCTTAGACTTCCTAGCCTCCAGAACAGTGAGCCAATAAATTTCTGTTCACAGAATACCCACTCTGTGCTATTCTGTTATAGCAGCACAAAACAGACTAAGACATTCTCTGACTTTATTCTCTTTCAAAATTATTTTGGTTATTCTGTGTCCCTCCCATTTACATATGAATTCTTAAACCAACTTGTCAGTTTTGGCAAAGAAGCTAGCTGTTGCTTTGCTAGGAATTGTATTGAACTTGTAGATCAGTTGGGAGAATATTGCCATCTTAACAATATTGGTCTTCCAATTCATGAACGCGGAATTTTTTTCCGTTTATCTAAATCTTCTTTAATTTCTTTCAACAATGTTTTGAAGTTTTCAGATATAAGTTTTGCATTTGTTTTGTTAAATTTATTCCTAAGTATTTTATTCTTTTTGATGCTATTATAAATACATCGTTTTTTATAATTTTGTTTTCAGATTGTTTGTTGCTAGTGTATAGAAACACAATTCAATTTTTTTTTTTTTTTTTTTTTTTGAGACAGAGTCTCATTCACTCCATTGCCCAAGGTAGAGTGCAGTGGCACAATCTCGGCTCACTGCAACCTCCACCTCTCAGGTTTAAGAGATTCTCCTGCCTCAGCCTCCCGAGTAGCTAGGACTACAGGTGTGCACCACCATGCCTGGCTAATTTTTGTATTTTTAGTAGAGACAGGGTTCCGCCATGTTGGCCAGGCTGGTCTCGAGCTCCTGACCTCAAGTGATCCGCCTGCCTCAGCCTTCCGAAGTACTGGGATTGCAGGCGTGAGCCACTGCGCCTGGCCAGAAACACAACTGATTTTGTATGTTAATCTTGTAACCTGCAATTTTGCTAAACTTATTCGTTAGTTCTGGTATTGTGTGTGTGCACGTGCATTCCCCAAGATTTTCTATATTCAGGATTATGTCATCTGCAAATAGAGATGGTTTTACATCTTCCTTTTTCAATTTGGATGCTGTTACTTCTTTTTCTTGCCTAATTGCCCTGGCTAGAACCTCCAGCACAATGTTAACTAGAAGTGACAAGAATGGACATCTTTATTTTGTTCCTGATCTTAGGGAAAAGCATTCAGCCTTTCATCATTGAATATGATGTTAGCTGTGGGGTGTTTTGTAGGTGGCCTTCATCAATTTTCACAAATACTCTTCTAGTCTAGTTGTTGAGTGCTTTTGTCATGAAGGGCTGATGGATTTTGTCAACTCTTTCTTCGGTGTTTATTGAGATGATCATACTTTTGTCCTTAATTCTATTAGCCTATTGAAGCCTAGTGTTCCATTATTGGAACCCTAAGTATGTGGGAGTTATTTATATCCTGCTGCTTAAGGTCATTGCCAAGGTCTGATTGCAAAAATTAAAAAATTGCAACTTCAGGCATAAATGGGTTAATTTCATGTGTTACATGGATTGATTTTCAGATGTTAAATCAATTTTGCATTCCTGGAATAAATTCCAGTTGGTCATGATGTATAATCTTTTCAATACACTGCTGGATTTGGATTGCTAACATGTTGTTGAAGTTTTTTTTATCTATATTCCTAAGACATACCAGTCTGTAGTTTTCTTTTCTTCTGATGTTTTTGTCTGGTTTTGGTATCAGGGCCTCAAAAAATGAGCTGAGCAGTCATTTCTAACTGCTGAATAATATTCCATAATTTGGTTGTGTCACAATTTATTTAGCCATAGCCCTACTGATAAATATCTCTTTCCATTTTTTGCCACTATTAACAATGTAACAATGTATAGTGTGTATATATATTATATATACACATATATATATACTTATGTATGTGTGATTTATCTATTTATTTATTAATCAGGGATCCTTTTCCCATTAGCTTTTATTAATAAAAGAATCACAATTAGGTCATAAATAAACAGCAAATTATTAATTACATGATTTGAGGCTTAAGATGAAAACCTGTCAAAATTAGTTTGATATACAGCAAAGTTATACGACATACTAAAACCAACTGTTTAATAGTTTTTGCCTTGTGTGAACTGCCTGTAGTGAAAAAGGAACAAGTTTTTAGTGATGAATGATCCAATAAACTATATTTTGGAACTTTTCAAGAGGAAGAGGGAAAAAAGATTTCAACAAAATTGAGGGCAAATACAGACCTAACCAAAGCATCCTGCCATCAGGGTGGCCATGTGCTTGCTCTATGTAAAAACTTGATTCCCCCAACAACATACAGAAAACAAAAACTGCACTGGCTTTGAAGTTATGTCTACAGTCTAAGTTTCCCTTATGGATATTAGGCTACAACAAAACATTTCATAATTGCAAGCCTTTCCACATCCCCCTGAACTAAAAATAACTCAAGATGTTATTAGTTCTTAAAATCCCCAATAAAATAAACTCTAAACATAATCTTGACCATTTTCTTGGCTGTTTCCCCAAAGCAACTGGGCTCTTCAAAGAATGCACACGTACCACACACCAAGAAAGTCCTACCCGTGTTTTCTCATCCCCATTTAGCCACATTTGAAAAGACCCTGATTTCAGTGGGAGAGATGACCATCAGCTTCAGAAGGGCCACACACTAGACATGAAGTGCCTTTTAGTTTTTCTTTTTAAAGTTACTAAGACTGTGAAATTTGGCTTTTTCAAAAACCCCAATACCATATTCTAGATAATTCTTTCACCCCAAAATATAAAATCCCATGCTTATAATTTTAAAATCCTCAGTGAGCTGTGGAATATTGTGCATATTTAGTACCTCCTACCAGCAACCTAGAAGTAGATGGCATCCATGTGTCTGTCACACCGACTTTCCAAATAACCTGATTCACCCATTAAGGACTGCTTTGGCCCCGGGCTCTCTGACTTCCTCAGAAACCACCTCTTTGGAACTTTTCATTTCTACAACTTTTTTTTAAACCTGCACCCTGAGCTTTCTCCATCATCCAGCCATTCTGCCTGATTCTATCCCATGTAAAGTAACCTCATCTGAGAACCTGCAATCACCTTTTACCAAACACATGATAAGCCTTAGCAACCTAGGGACTATGATAACTCTGGCCTTGGCTTAAGTTTACATAAGAACATGACAGTTTGCTGACCTCATGGAGGGAAATCTAAATGAAATAAACATAGGAAACAAAGCAAGCCAAGATCAGGTATTTCCATTCTGAGTACAAAAGCAACTGATCTTAAGCAACATGCAGAGATGTTAATGCAGGAGATATATTTGTACAATCAAACTCTTGTGTGCTGGTGAAAGACTTTACCCCCAAAGTCAAGTCAAGACAAAACCAAAGCAAAATGGAGAATGGTCAATGTAACAATGCAATAAAAAGAACAGGATTCAAGCTTCTTCCTGCAAATACTGAACTGGAATCTTTTTCTTTACAAGTTTGACTAGAAGACAGCAGTCATGACATTTCCCTAATAAGGGAATACCTTCAGGCCAACCTGTGTTCTGAAGCAATTCAAAGTTCAATGAATATTGGGGGGCAGGAGTGGGGTCTAATATACATTTTTTCTGTGAGAATGGCAGCCAAACTACCTCAGGGTCTCAAGGGACTGAGAGACCTCAGAAAGGAACTACTACCAGGGCTGGATCTAGGCCTTCCTTTCAGGAGCCAAAGTCAGAAGAATCCAAGGATACCCTAACTTCACGGCAAAGATGCCATAGCATTTTATTACTGTTACAAAAGTCAACCAATGATATTTTCATTGAAATATCCGCACTGAATGATGTTTCAACATATGAGGCAAACAGGGATGTCTTTGGAGAAGGCACTTAAGGTAGAACATTAGTAAATCTTACCGGTTGGCTAAAACAAAAATGAGCTCATTCAACCTGACTGGAGGCCTGTTAGGGCTGTTCCTTCTCACTGTGGCCTGACTAAAAGCCAGTGGCATTAGAAGAGTCACATTTTCCAAGTCTGGGGTTGCCCCAGTGGAGTGGTGCTGCTCTCAAAAGCCCTGTGTCCCTAAACATATCCATCCTGACAAGATCAGTTTCCCCAAATGCTGGTTCCAAAAATAGGCTCAGGGCTGGCAGAAATCATTCAGGAAGCTTCTTGAAGGCCCTCTCTTTATTTCTCAGTCTGACTTTCAGCTTGTCCCAGCTACTGTAAACAGCTTCGGCTTCCCAAGGTCACTAGCAACTTCTACTTTTGCTAATATCTTTGGTTTTCCATAGCACTGGTTGTGACTGTCTGTTAGACTAGTGGCCCCCCGATTAACTGCACCTCCACTTCACACCCTTTTCTTGAACCTGGACTGGGCTTGTGACTTGTTTAGTACGTAGAGGTAATACTCCAGCTGTCTTCTGATTAGAAAAAATAATCATCATCATCATCATCAATAGAGGGCAGTAGAAGGGATGCTGCGACGACTCTGGACTTAAGCCTTCAGAAGGCCTGGCCACTTCTTTCAAGCTCTTGGGAGCTCTGAGCTTCATGTGAGAGGTCTAGCTATGCTGCCAGCAAAGCCACTTAGAGAGATTACATGGAGAAGGAGAGACTCAGGACTGCAGGCAGAGAGAGAAGCCCAGCCACCCCAGTCTCTCCACCAACCTACTGACCACATGAGTGGCCACCTGCAGGCTAGCAGAAGAACAGCCCAGATGAGCCCAGCTCAGATTGAAGAACAGTTGGGGGTGAGGGATTTTTTAAGCCACTGAAGTTTTGGGGTAAGTTTGTCAGCAACATTTGACAACCAAAAACACTGGTCATTCATAGGTGCTTTTTTTCTAAGTACAAGACAATTACACAAATGCAAAGAAAATATGGCAAACATTTTCCCACCACAATCTTCTCAGTCAACAGCCAAACTATAATTGGTCATGGACTGGGAAAAAAAAAGGCACACCTCTTATCTTAATTCATAAATATCCATGATTCTTTTTCTATGACTCTTTAATGCCAATGCAAAGGTAGACCAGTCAGCTTCTGACAGTCTCAGGCACTGGCCTAATTCTCATTTGGCCAAAAATAGAAGCCATCAAAATGAATTATCCACTACTGGATACACGATGGTAAATGAGATTGTTCTCACTTTTCTAGGATGTTCTTACTTAATTTTCCCAAATCATTTCTTCTTATCATCCCCCACGATGAGGAAAAAAAAATTAAACTGGTTAAGTTTGTAAAAAGAAAAAAAAAAGCCTATAACTAGAATTTGAATCCCCATAATCTGCAAACTATAGCACACAATTTAACTGCTTCCTTAATTTAAAACAAAATTCTATAAAATATAATGTCTACATTGTGGAGATGATTTCTTCTTATCTGAGGCAATGAGGAATTGGGAAGCAGGTATTGTTGAGTTAAAATACAGTGGTCTTTAAATGGTTTCAAATTTTGCTTATCAAAAAGTAGTCAACCACAATGTAAGCCTTCCAAATCCAAATTCTGTCTTCACATAAACTTTCTTGCATCTGCTCTTGATCTTTTTAGGGAGAGGGTGAAAGTCCACATCTATTTCTGTGCTGAAGTTTTGGCAGGTTTTCTCATCTGAAAGTTTTCTGCTGTTGGATCAGGCCCACGTTTTCATAGACTCTAGCACTGTCTCCTCTCATTTCTGCACAGGGTGGCTTTGGAGTACAAGGCGGGAGGGGGCTCTGATTTCCACTCGTCTGGTCCGCTAGAGGATACTTAATATTTATATATTCATGCCCTTTCCTCTTGCTTTTCTGCTTTTGTTCAATCCTGCGCTGTAGTGTTTCAATATAATGCTGGACCGCCATATAGATAAATCGGTACCGTGCTTCTGTCTGGACCATCCCTGACCTCGTAGACCACACCATCTGGATGGTTTGGGGAACATCAACGTCGCAGTCAACACCTTCTCTCTGATGATGTCAATAAGAATATCAATCACAATGAACGTCCCTGTCCGGCCAATTCCAGCACTGCAGTGCACCAAGACCGGCCCTGCATCCATGATGCTCTCCTGCTTATGGTGCACCTTCTCCAGGAGGTCCAGCACACCCCCGGGGTTGCTGAGCACTCCGTGGTCCGCCCAGGTCCGAAAGTGGTATTGTCAGACTGTTCTCTCCGAATTCCCTTCTCCAGCCTTTGAAAGTTTAAGTTCTCTTAGCGTATAGTCATGAGCGGCGCTTTCTTTGACGTTCCTAACACGCATGACGCCATATTCTTTTAGAGCATACTCATCAGGCCAGTATTTGACACATTTACTCTTTCCTCTCTCCGCTTCTTTCATTGTCATGACAATCAGTCTGGAGTTTTGGAAAACCATCCGCCAAAAGTCGTTCACTGTGTTTTGTAGGCAGCCTTGTGTGGCAATGTAACTCTTTTTGGGCTTTGAATTGTTGCACTTGGTTTCAAATTCAGGCATGATGATATTTGCATTGATGTAACCTGAAACAGGCTCATTGGGATCCCGTCATGTAGAACAACCTTGGTATTATCAAAGGGCAGGATGTTTTTAATATCTATTTTTGTTTTTATTTTCTTGCCTTTGACCCTCTTTTCAGCTGTAGAGAAGTTTGCACTCCTGTTGTTGCAGTGTCTCAAATTCTTTCCAAAAGCCTTGTTTGACTTTATCTGTGGTCTCAGCTAATTTGCTTAGTTCTCGAACTCTGCTTTCTATTTCAGCAGCATTTATACAAGTTATGTTAAGGGGCTGCTTGAGTTGTAGTACTGTACCCAATGTTTCCACCATTAGATTCTTCTTGTAATGCTCCACAAGATCTGTCAAAGAATCAAACCGTTCTCCTCCACCAATGTTGTATTTCAATTCCTGACAACGAATCATTTATTCAGAAATCATTTATTTCTGGAAAAATTCCTAAATGTGAGACTTCTGATTCAAAAGTAGATATTTTTCCTTTTTAGGGGGACAGAGTCTTGCTCTGTCGCCCAGGCTGGAGTGCAGTGGCGTAATCTCGGCTCACTGCAATCTTTACCTCCCAGGTTGAAGCGATTCTCGTGCCATGCCTCAGCCTCCCGAGTAGCTGGGGTTACAGGTGCTGGGATTATAGCCACCACACCCGGCTAATTTTTGTATTTTTAGTAGAGATGGGGTTTCACCATGTTGGCCAGGCTGGTCTCGAACTCCTGACCTCAAGTGATCTGCTTGCCTTGGCCTCCCAAAGTGCTGGAGTTACAGGCGTGAGCCACCATGCCCAGCCAAAAGTAGATATTTTTAGTGTTCACATATATTTTCAGATATCTTTCTAAAAAGGTGGTAACAATTTATACCACTATCAGCAATATATGAAAATATTAGTTTCTCTACACCCCACCAAGACTGTTATCATTATTTTTAAAGGTTTTTACATTGCCCAGTTGATATTTTCTTTTCATTTCCCTGACTACTATTTATCTATTGGAAACATTTTAGGTCTTTATATATTAGGGACAAGAATCTCTTTTCTGCTATGTATTTTACAAAATTTTTTTCAGTTTATTAGTTTCCTTTTGACTTTGGTTTTGATGTTTTTGACATAAAAGCATTTTTAATTTTTTAAGGTCAAATATTTTTCTCTCTCTCTCTCTCTCTCTCTCTCTTTCTCTCTCTCTCAGCTTCTGGGTTTCCAGGCTTACTTGGAAAGGTCTCTTCCAACCCAATATTATTCAAATACTTTCAATTTTCTTCTAATGTTTTTAGTGTGTGTGTGTGTGTGTGTGTGTGTGTGTGTGTGTGTGTGGTTTTGTTTTATTTCTTTTAATTCTCTGATACATTTAGAATTTCTTTTATTATTTTATTTTATTTTATTATTTATTTATTTATTTTTGAGACAGAGTTTTGCTCTTGTTGATGAGGCTGGAGTGCAATGGCGCAGTCTCGGCTCACTGCAACCTCCACCTCCTGGGTTCAAGCAATTTGCCTGCCTCAGCCTACCAAGTAGCTGCCACCACTCCTGGCTAACTTTCGTATTTTTAGTAGAGATGGGTTTTCACCATGTTGGCCAGGCTGGTCTCAAACCCCTGACCTCAGGTGATCCACCCGCCTTGGCCTCCCAAAGCACTGGGATTACAGGCGTAAGCCACCACACCCGGCCTTATTTAGAATTTTTAAATTTCTGTTACAAGGTAGGGATCTAACTAACTTAGTTTTTATCCAGTTTGATTAATTATTATGCCAGCACGTTTAATTAAAAGTGCTTTACTATCAAATTGCCACCTTTGTCATGAATTAATTTTAATATAAACATATCTATGTCTGGGTTCTCTATGCCAATACCATTTCATTTTGATAATTTTAATAAAGTAAGACAAATTCTCCTTTTCTGTTCTTCTTTTTCATGAATTTCTTCCATATCCTTAGACATTTATTCTGCCACATCGTAGTAAACATTCTCATCTGCCTCTTGGGCTTTCTTCTACTGTGCAGTAGTCATGTCATTTGGGCAGATTGATCTTGGCTGTGGAGGTGGCCTCAATCAGCCAAAGCCAATCAGTTTAATCCAAATTTTCTGGCTACATTAATTTGTTCATGAGGGGTGAGACCTAAATTGGTCTCACCTAAATTGATCAGAGTGAAACTTAGGACTTTTCGTTAATGATTTGTGGGGGAAGAATCAAATAGCTCTGGTTTCTGCTGGTAGCAATCTTGTAACCATGAGAGAAACTAGTCTAGAGATGATGTCTACACGTGGAGGAGGAAAAAGCCAAGATAATCACAAAAAACTGAAGATGGGATCTTGATCAAATTGTGCCCGAAGTCCACCCTACTTCTGGACTTTTTAGTTTTACAAACCAGTACATTTCCTTCTTTGTTTTAATCTAGGCAGCCAGGTTATCTGTTATTCACAATGAAAGCCGTATGTGTAACTGATACTTATTGGGTTTTACAAAAATTTTCTTTCTAAAAACTAATATGAAATGATCTCTCATTGTCCTCAAACTCTTCATTCTCCTCATTAGCAATAAAATGCTACTCCAGCTCTTTGACATGGCCTGATTCTATTCCACTTCCTAGCCTCCTTCCTCATTAATATTGTTCCTCCCACATACACACATACCTAAATTCACCTCAGAATCATCTCCCAGTTTCCACTCCTCTATTTTCTCTCTTGAAAAGTTCAGCCTTATATTAAAGTTGTACACACATTTGGATCTAAATTCCTCAAACATATGTTAAATACCTACTATTATGGGAATGGCCTATGAAAGGTGGTGGGGATGCAAACATGAGTGAGGGATGAACACTGCCTTAAAGGAACTACCTTTAAATAGAGGAGTCAGATGCACAATCGTATCATTCCAGTGTGAGGTGATTAATGCACTAATAGAGACATGCACAATGTCTTGCATATAGTAAACAATGAATGAGTATTTGTTAAACAAAATGGAATTTAAGGTCATGTTAACATAAACATGAATTCTAGATCTTTAAAGTTATACAAAGATAAACTACAAAGAGAAAGAATTAAGTAAACACGAAGCCATCCTTACAGGGTTAACAGGAATTCTGGACAGAAATAGAGTTATAATTAAGCATTAATCAGGTTGCACTTTGGCCCATTTCTTTGTAAACAGAAGTCGTGTAGCACCAGATACCATTCGTATCCCTGTCATTCCTACAGATGGGATTTCCGACATTAGAATTACTTAAGGCTTTTGTTTAAAATAGACAGGCTCTCTGACACTAGACTCATAAGACCTTTGTTTAAGAATTGCTTAAGATGATTCTCAGCTCCCAAATTGCAGTGAAACAGCTGATGCCAACAAGTTTGAAGACCCCCACAGAGGACTGGAATCAGCATGAGAATACAGTTTCTGTATCTTCCTGTCCCCTGACTTCACTCTGCACTCTTTGACCGATCAATAATCTCCACACTGTGGTCATCCCAAAACCCTTAAACAGTCTACCATCAAACTCCACAGGGAGACAGATTTGAGGTTTCCTTCTGTCTCCTTGTTTGGCTGCCCTACAATTAAACTTCATTCTCTGCTGCAACCCAGTGTCTCAGCCTATTGACTTGCTGTGTGCATCAGGCAGATAACTTATTACGGTTACAAACATGAAATAAACAAGACCTTTTAAAATAGAATAGAGTGATTTATAGCTCTTTTCTTGTGATGTCTTTGTCTGGTTTTGGTATCATGGGTAATACTGGTCTTGAAAAAGGAATTGAACTAAGTCGTTTTTAACAACTTTATAATACTCCATAATTTGCCAGCAAAACCCCCTCCCCTCCACCACCTCTGCCAACACCACACACACACACACACACACACACACACACACACTCACTCACTTTGGGACTGCCACAGGCCCCAGGCTGCTGAAGATTGAAGTGAGATGAGTAGAACCAATTGGTGCTAAGAAGAAAGTGGTCCTCAGAGTTACACTGAGTGAAGAATGTGGGCTGTGAAGAGGAGGGCCTCTGCTCTGCCCCTCTTAGTAGCCTGTTATGTTCGTGCCCTTCCTGACACTTAAGGTTGGCACTCAGTGATTATTGAATTGCAAAGTACTCCCCTCTTCCCGCTTCAGAAAGCTGGGTCAGCCTCCTGGTTAACAAAGCCCTATCTTATCTCCCCAACTGCCTAAACTATTTGCTTCCTATTCCTGCCCCTTTCTTCTACAAGGCTGCCTGTGCCTTCATTTGAAACTTGGTAACCTGTAAAAGAAATTAGGCAGGGCAGATAAGCACGGGGTCTGATGCATGCTAAATTCCAAACCTGGGGCCTGTCTCCTAGGACAAAATGAATAAACCTTAGGCTGTTCATTTCTGAAAAACAGGTCCCTGAGAACCAGGCCCTGCAGTCTCAGATCATAGCCATGACTATGTGAGCCTGTCACATTTTTATATGTCACTCAGAACTGCATACCCATACCAAATTGCCTCCCTCACCTTTTGCCCTTTTGAATGCACTAATTGAAAGGTAGGCATCCAGTACTACCTTCTGCAATCCCGGTCCCTGATCTCCACAGATTCAAACTCCAGGTGCCAGCCCTCCAATCCCCGCTCAGACAGCCCTTTCAAGCCCACAGAGCCCTGAGCCTTGGAAAGGCAAGCTGACTCCAACTTTTCCCTGAGAGTTCTGGCTGGACCTTTCCTTGGCTGCCCTTTATTAAAAGTTTTTTTTCGCTATAGTTACAGTACTCGAACGTAACAGAACTGCCCTTGTTCTAAAGTCTTTCCACTGGTTCCATCTGTTCTCCCCCTAATTGTGAGTTAGTGAGACTAATTCCACAAGCACAACTTTGCAAGGGGCCATTTTGCATTGCAAACAGGCATGACAGGCCTTCAAGTACCTAGCAAGAAGAAGGTCCCTGTGGGAAGTCAAGTCAAGCCAGTTCAGTTAAATTCCAACCAGCAACCTCCTGTCAGGGAACTGCGTTAGTTCCAAGAGGGTTCTTGTGCTGTTAACTGATTGTGTCACCTTGAGCCAGCTAAATTCTCTGGGTCTCAGCTGTAAAATTAAAGCCGCAGACCTTAGATACTCTAACAGTGCTCACGGACTATGATTTTAGAGATAGGGTCACCCACGCAGTACGGGACTGAGGCAAGCCACTGTGGGAGCCCCTGTCCTTCAGCATTAATAAGTTTGGACAGATGAAACCAGATGAGAATAACATCAAGAGCAGCCTTGCTTGACTAATTAAAACTTCTAATACTAAACGGGGGAGGGGGGGCATCATGGTTGCCAGGCAACCAGCCTCCATTCTTGTTGGCAGAGGGGTGGAGTTGGCTCAGGTCTCCTTTAGCGGCAGTTTATGGAACCACTCAGTGGCCCTTTTCCTGACCATTGCCTTCCTGTGGAGCTCTAATCAAACCATCTTCACAGGACTGTAGGGACACTCCTGCTTTCTCTGCAACCCTGAAGTTTGCCTACTGAAATAGTGAAACCAATTTTTGGCTCTATAAAAACAGCTCTACTCATATTCCTATTTCTTCATTGAAGTCTATCAACAGACAGTGCCGGCATTCTTCAGTCACCTGAGCTTGCCTTTCCTCTGACCTCTTCATGTGGACGACTCCCTGTAAACAGCCATGGACCTTGTAGACTATCTAGAAGCACTGCATAAAGGTGAAGGCGGGTATCTTGACACCTCTAGGAATGGCGGTGGAATGAAAGGGCAGCCCAAGCCCCAAGTGAGGAGACATAGAACAGTCTGAAATCCTCCACTAAGCCAGCGTAACGGTGGAACACGTGGTCCTTATTAAATACACAAACACACATGCAAATGGCTGCCTGGACTCCTCTCCATTTTCCTTGCCACCACCTCTTTTTCAACCTATTAGTATTTACAGCTGGTCTCCCTGATTAAAAATAAGTGCATTATGCAGACCATGTCTCTCTTTAGTGGGCTCTATTGCATAAGAATACAACCCAAGTGCCTTCGCACCACCTACAGGGTGCTGAGTGCTCTGGGGCCTGAACACCTCTTCAGCCTGGTTGGGGCCCTACTACCCTGGCTCACCATGTTGCAGCAATGTGAGCCTTCTAGACCAGTCTAGAACAGGCCAAACTCTCTTCCTTAAGGTCTTTGCCCAAACTGCCCTCACTGCCTGGGAAGTTCTTCCCTCGGCTGTTTATATGGCAGACTGCCTTTCACCAGTCAGATCTCAGGTTAATTGTTCCTGCCTGCACAACCTAAGACAGTTGCTCCTTCTCTTTTCTGTCTCATCACTATGTTTATTTTCTTCACAGCATTTCTTATAATCTGTCATTACACTGTCTATATATTTGTTGACTTATTTATTATGGTTTCTCCCATCAGAGTACAAGCTCAGCAATATCAGGACGCAGTCTACCTTGCTCATAGATGTCTCCAGGTGTCTAGCTCAAGCCTGGCACATATTCAATATTCAATAAATATGTGTTCAATAAAAGAATGTTGATGAATAAAAGATGTGCCAAGATAATACATTTAAATGTAGTCACATGTGTACATCATACCATCATTCCTGTCATGCTTACTGTGTGCCTGCCACTGTTCCAAGTACTTTCTACAGGTTAACTCATTTAGTTCTCACATAACTCTATGAAGCAGGGTACTAATCATCCCCAGTTTACAGGGAAAGAGGCAGAGGCACAGAGTGGTTAATTAACTCATCTAAGGTCAGACTGTGAGCTGGGTGGATGTATTTGTTTGCCAGGCCTTCCATAACATGATACCATAGATGGCTTAAACAGAAATTTATTTTAAGCGGCAGCTTAAACAGAAATTTATTTTCTCACAGTTCTGGAGGCTGAATGTCCAAGATCAAGGTGCCAACAGGAATGGTTTCCTCTGAGGCCTCTCCTTGGCATGCAGATGGCTGCCCTCTTGCTGCCTCTCCTCATGGCATCCCTCCGTGCACGCACACTCATGCAGATGGCCGCCCTCTTGCTGCCTTTCCTCATGGCCATCCCTCTGAGCATGCACATCCCTGGTGTCTCTGTGTGTCCTATTTCCTCTTCTTATAAGGACACCAGTCAGATTAGATTAGGACCCAGTCTAATGGCTTATTTTCACTTAATCACCTGCTTAAAGGCCTTATCTCCAAACAATCACAGTCTGAGATACTGGGGGTTACAGCTTCAACATACGAATTTGGTGAGGACACAATTCAGTCCATAATAGTGGGACTGGGATTGAATCCTTGGTAGCCTCTCTCCAGAGTCTGTGCATTTAACCATTATGCTATAAAAACCCTGAACAAATTAGAACATATTTAGCACATTATGAGTTTCGCAGTGTGGCAGCCACTTTTAGCTGCCCATTCAATATCCATCTCAGCTCCTCCGTGTTTTTTCTTGCCAACAGAGCCTCACTTTGATTCAGAGAGGCAACGTGACCAGCTCCAGCATTAAAACAATCTTGGTAACTCCGCTCTCATTTGCTATTTATGCACTTTCTCAGGCTTTCTTGCATTTAGGGGTGGGTGCCATGTGCCCTGGTTCTACCCAATAAAAGGTCAGAAGAAGTGAGCTGGGAGACTTACAAAGACAGCAGGAGCTAAGAACTCATTGATACCGTATTTCCTCTAGGCAGGTATGTGGACCTGATCCTGGGGCTGTAACAGCCATCTTGGGACCATGAGAGGAGGTGTGTGAGGAGAACAGGCCAACACACTTGGGATAGCAGACCAGAAACAGGAGGAATGTGAGTCTGGGAATTGCTACTTTTAGACATCTCATTATAAGAAGTCATGAAATATCTCTGCAACTGTTTTTTATAAAGAGCTTTACTGAGGTATAATTATACTTAGGCACCATAAAATTCACTTGTTAAGTGTACAGTTTTAGTAGATTCACTGACTTGTGCAACCATCACAACAATCCAGTTTTAGAACATTTTCTATCACCCCAAAGAGATCTCTCATGCTGGTTTGCTGCAAATCCCTGTTCTCACTCACAGCCTCAGGCAACACTAGTCTGCTTTCTGTCTCTATAGATTTGCCTTTTCTGGACATTTCATAAAGCATCTATTTTTTTTTTTTTTTGGTAGCTTTAAGTATTCCTAACTGTTATTCATGGCATGTGGATATGCAACTGCTGATGGAATCCACATTCAGGCAACAGCAAGAGTGAGGAAAAAATCATGGCCAACAATATGTTATAGTGGAAAGAGCCTCCAGTCCGGGAGAACCAGTTTTGGTCTCAACTATTGTCCTAACAAGCTGTTTACCTTTTGTTTTTTTTAGAGACGGGGACTTGCTCTGTTGCCCAGGCTGGAGTGCAGTGGTATGAACATGGTTCACTGTAGCCTTGAACTACTGAGCTTAAGCAATCCTCCCACCTCGGCCTCCAGAGTAGCTGGGACTACAGGCATGTGACACTATGCTTGGCTAATTGTGTGTGTGTGTGTGTGTGTGTGTGTGTGTGTGTGCGTGCGTGTGTGTTGTGTAGAGACGGAGTCTCACCATGTTGCCCAGGCTAGTCTCCAACTCCTGAGCTCAAGCAATCCACCTGCCTCAGCCTCCCAAGCATTGGAATTACAGGCGTGAGCCACCACGTCTGGCCCCTGTTTGCCCTTTGTAAATTTTTAAACTTCTCTTAGTTGATTTTCCTCATCCATGAAATGAAAAGATCCTAATAAATAATTTTTAAGCTCCCTTCCATCTCTTGGATTCTAAGCTGTTTTTAAAGAAATAAAAGCAGTATTTGAGTTATTTCAGATAAAACACTGTATCATTCAGCAAAAACTTAAGACCACTCCATGCTTCTAAAAATATAAACACTGAGTCATTTTTTAAGGTGTACAATTCTACTAAATAGGATAACTGAGGGTGTTATGAAATGTCTGTCAAACACAGAGATCTGTATTGGTCAGGAAGATTATTATATGCAGAAGAAATGAATAAATTGTTGCAAAAGGGTCATGTTTATTCACCTCTTGTCAGAAGCAAGGGTGAAGAATGCTTAGAACATGTTAGAACAATGTACACATAGAACATGTTTAGAACTTGTTCTATGTATATATATATATTTACACATAGACATGAACACATCGTTTGTAAAAGGGATACTATGAATTGGAGTGTGTTGGGGGACTGCCCATGATTGCAGAGAAATAGGATCATGTTTACTCTTAAAATTCTATTTGTTGCTGTCAATTTTTAAATGGTGTAATAATGGTTTTGTGGCTGCAGATAAAATAGAGTCCTCTGGGGTAATGGAACTGATCTGTACCTTCATCATAATGATGGTACACAAACCTATACACGTGTTAAAATTCATGTGTACACACCGAAAAGGCAGTTTTATGGCATGTTAATTTAACTAACTAAAATTAAAAAAATGCCCTTATCTTTTAGAGATACATATTGAAATATTCATGGATGAAATGATACAGTATCTAGCATTTGCTTCAAAATAATATGGGAAGAAGGAAAGTGTTGGGTACAGATGAAACCAGATTGGCCATGAGTTGGTAATTGTTAAAACCAGGCTCATTATCCTCTCCAGGGGCTCATTATGCTCTTTTCTCTCTTTTTGTGTATGTTCAAAGATTTTCATTATAAAAAGTTAAAAATAAAAAGCACTGGAGAGCAAGACTAAAATTCCTTCCTGCTTGCATGCTTAAAAGAAGCTTATTTTTCATTTCCAGACTGATGGCTCTTTCTAAGGTAAGGAGTTCTCCACATAGGCAAAGCAATAGGAAGAATACAGCATCTCTCTCTATAGTTTATGCACATTTCACGATATAGAAAGGGTTTTCTTCATGTATATGATCAGCTGGGCTGACTACATTTAAAAAATTATCCTTACATCAAATCAGAACTAATAGCTACCATTTGTTGAGCACCTGCTTATGATAGTCATCAAAATAATCCTTCCAAAAAAAGATCTCAAATGTTTGCACCACCGCCTCCCCACCAGAAGATATTATTCTCATTTTACAAAGGAGGAAAGCAAGTCTGAGGGGGACAGGTTAGTAGCTAGTATGTCTCATAAAGTGAAGTTAGAATGCAAATTTAGACCCCCTTCCAGAGCTGTGTTCTTGACCAGCAGGCAGTAGGGCTTCAGAGTGGACACTGTCCTGAGCAGGATGCCTTTTAAAGGTTCTGCACACCCACTCCCCACTTCTCCATGCTTTTCTTCTAGGAGCTGTGATCTTTTTCAGAGGAGTCCCCAAGGGCTACTGAATTTGCTTTGCCCAAGTCTGGAGAGCCAAATGTACCCTGAGTGTACATCTGTCTCCAAAGCCAGTGACTGGCTGGCACAGGAGTACCGAAGTTCAGCTCCCTCGCCTAGACTGAGACAAACTCTGAGGTATAATTACCTCTCCAGAGCTTCCCTGGGGGGATCAGGCTGCAGCAGAAGCTTCACCTGAAATCACACCCATGCTCAGCTTTTCCCATTTCCCTGTCCTGCTTCCCACACTCTCTTACTGGTTTCTCTTGGGAGTATTTTCTTAGTAAGTCACTTGCCCATGAGCCCCTGTCTCAGGGACTGTTTCTTGGGAGCCCAAACAAAGACATTTTTTTTTCCTATTTAGATGCAGATTGGTTGCTAACTAGTCTTATTATTATTCCGTACCTAGGAAGCATTTGTGAGAATGTTTATGTGTTTTTATATATGTAAGCTCATATATACTTATTTTTTTGTATACAGTTACTGTAGTGACTGGAAATAGAAATGTCAAAGGAGGGACAAATATGATGTCTATGAAGATCACACTGAGCCATAATAAGGATCTGGAGAATGTGCTCGTCCCTGTGTCCACTGGAGTACTCTAGTAGTACAGCCATATCACAATGGGCTTCCAGGTGCTATCCAAATACTGGCTGCTGAGCAAACACTGCTTTAACCCTTGAAGGTGGGGATGAGGGTTAGGAAGGGGGCCTGTTACGTGGGAAGAGGAAAGAAAGAATACGTTTTAATAAACGTAAAACCGGGTCTTCAAGGCTTCAAGAACAAGACAATGCTTTCCAATAAGCCCCTTGCCAGAAAGAAGGCATTACATTTACAGAGGACAGAGCCCAGCTGTGCCCATCCTCAGTGAGAAAGGGATTTCAGTTTGTAAAGGAGTCTCTTAATTGTGGCGTATTAGCCACAGAAGAGAGTCTGGTTCTGTAGCTGAATTGGGTGAATTTATAGCTCAGTTGCATGACTTTTGAGCTGTGTGACTCTGGTACATTATTTTACATCTTTGAGCTTCTATTTCTTACTCTATAAAACAAGACAATAATAAGTACTTCACATTGTTATCAAGAGAATTGTATTAGATACATAAACTCTTAGAACATGATAAGAATTCAATAAGTGATCATTATTACAATTAGGGGAACTTCAAATTTCCTTCTTTGCATGTCTCTAGTAATGACATTGGGGCCAGAGAGATTGCAAGGAAGCTGGTATACCCATATGTTGCTGGGGCAGGGAACATACACATCTTTTAAAAAGAAATATAGCAAACCAAACACCCTCCCAGACAAGTTAGTCTGGGCTTTATAGCAATTTTCTCTTACCTATTTTATAGTTTACCATGGTATATTCTAATTTATTTGTCACTATATCTCTCTCCATCACCAAGAAGAGAGCTTTTTGAGGGCCAGGACACTATTTTTGTCATTGTGTCTCCAGCACTTAGCAGCTGAAGCAGTAGATGCCCAGTTATTGTTGTTGAATAAAAGCGGAGCCTTAAGCCAGTATCAGCGCTTGGACAGAATTATTCTAAAAGAACCAAGCTAAAAGAAAAGAAGAATTTATGCAAACATGCCTAATGCAACCATATTTGTAATAGAAGAAAGAAAGGGAGAGAAGAAGAAAGAAAAAGAAAGAGAGGAAGAGAGAAAGAGAGAAAGAAAGGAAGGAAGGAAAGAAGGAAGAAAAGAAGGAAAGAAGGAAGGAAGGAGAGAGAAAGAAAGAGAGAAAAGAGTAAAAGAAAGACCAAATTAAGAAAGATGCCCATAGCAGGAGAATTTAAGTAATTTAATACATATCTAATCAATGATGATTTTACAGAGCCATTAAAACTAAGAAAGTTTCTGTAGCAACATGGGGGAAATAATTACGATGAATTCTTAAAGAAAAATGAGAGAAAGATTTTTATTTGAATAATGACTACAACCCTGTAAAAGTTACATGAATGTATATAAGCAGAGACAAGCGGGGGATGTGGACTTTGAAAATAGGTTATTTTATTGCAGTGATAACACTGTGGATAAATTTTTTTAAAATTTAGCTTTCCATTAGTGTTGCTATTATATTTGTGTGGGGGAAGTTAAGTAACATTTTTAAATAAAAGAGAGTGGCCAATCTTTCACTGCAGGGCTATGTCTAGTTTTTACAGAGCAATGGCCTCCCAAGATCCCTTCCAGCCCAGGCGTCTGGCATTTACCAGCTTCTAGTACAGGGCTCTGAGACTCCCAGAACAGCGCAGAAGCAATTGCTTATGCTTAACGTCTATGCTGTCAAAATCCAATGGAAAAATAAGAGCCACACTAAAGCAGAATCAATATAAGTTGTGAAAGTGTTGACCCCTAACTCTAAAAGTACTTTCTAAACATTTACTGAATATCTGCTATACGCCAGTCACTCTTCTAAAGGCTAAGGATACAAAAGACGAGTAGTACAAAGTTCTTGCCCTCGAGGAAGTTCAAAGCCCAATAAGGAAAGGAGACAGCAAATAATCAGCTACAGTGTAATATGGTCAGTGCTAAGACAGAGCATGGAGCAGGTGCTGTGGGATGTTAATTAGGGCATGTTTGGTGCAAAGAATAAGAATTACTTCAAACTGGCTGGAATCAAGGAGGGCTTATTATAAGGATGTAGGAAAATGTCGTGGAATTCAAGGCAGGAAGTGCATTCTGGCCTCACAAGACCCAGGAGCTGGAACCTGAAATATCAGAAACCAGAGTAGCTAGTAGTCTGTCTCTATCTCCCCATCTTTCTCATTCCTTCTGGGGGTAATGGAGTCTTTTGTATCCATTTGCTTTGGCAGCTCTATTCCTCTCTCTCTTTCCAGATTAGTCCCATTGCTCTGTTTTTATGAGGCTCACCTTGGCTTCCCCCAAAAGGGCATCAAGCTCCAGCCTCTACATCATGCTCAGATCCACCACTTACAGCTAATTAGACTCGCTGGGTCCCAATTCCAAATTACCGACAAAGATAATCTGATAGGTCAGTCCTGAGTCAGGCCCAAATGTGGTTGGGGGCAGGAGTCATGAAGCCTGCCGCCTGTTTAGCAAGGCCCATGAGCACAGACTTGCTGAGAAGGGGCAACACAAAAGCAGACAGTCTCCTTCACGGGAGAGCAAGGGACTTGACTTTGACTAGGGATGTTGCAGTTAAGAAGGTGGTTTTGAGTTGAGTTTTGGGGTGACAGTGAGGGGTTAGACTAGAATAGGGTGCGAATTTCAAATATAATTAGGAAGTAGAATCAATAGACTTGATTGCATGATAGAAGGAGGGTTGTAAATGGAATTTCAATGTATCACATAATTGCCTTGGCTCATCCTGTTTGCTAAGGAGCTGTTTAAATGTCACTGTCCTTGGACCCATCAGAGTTTTTTCCATAGTCAAACGCGATGAACTCCCACTTACTCAGCAATGGTCCCTTGTATTCATCAGCAATTCCAACTGCAGTAAGAGCAGACTTACAAGAAACAGTCTGATTCCTCAGAGGAATTCGAGACATCCATCTACAGTTTAAGTTTTCTGCTGCATAGCACATTCCAAGTTCACACACACACGCACACACATGCACACACAACAAGCACTTTCATGGAATGATGCATTGTATTTCTGTCTGGCTCTATATATCCTGTGTATTTTGCATAATGTATGGAATAAATTCACCACTCTATTACTTGAAGATAATTATAACTGGCTTATGTGGTATGTTATAGTCTGTGTATAAAAGAAAACATAGCTGATTTATAAACAGTGATTGTATACACATGTATGTCTAAAATCATTTTGGGTTTTTTGGTTTTTTGTTTGTTTTGAGACAGGGTCCCACTCTGTTGCCCAGGCTGAAGTGAAGTGGTGTGATCTTGGCTCACTGCAATCTCTGCCTCCTGGGATCAAGCGATTCTCCTGTCTCCAAGCGATTCTCCTGTCTCAGCCTCCTGAGTAGCTGGGACCGCAAGCACACACCACCATGCCTGGCTAATTTTTGTATTTTTTGGTAGAAATGAGGTTTCACCATATTGGTCAGGCTAGTCTCAAACTCCTGACCTCAGGTGATCCACCCACCTCAGCCTCCCAAAGTGCTGTGATTACAGGTGTGAGCCACTGCACCTGGGCTAAAATCATTTTGTTTTGTTTTGTTTCTTAGCAGAGGAGGTGCCAGTTTACAAATCCTTATTTATAAAGCTTTTTGCACATTAGTTCTTTCCATTCCCATGGCCATCAGCCTAATTCAAGGTGTTACCATCTCATCCTACATTGTTGCAGTAGCTCCTAACTGACCATTCTATCCATGGCCACCAGACTTCACATCGTTAAGCGTCACTTGCATGATGACACTCGCAGCTCACCAACCCTCTGTGTTCCCCTGTTAACTACCAAATAAAGTCCAAGTTCTATGTCCTAGCTTCAGCATCGTTAGAATTTAGTGCCCAACAACCTTGCAAGTTCCTTTGCTACTCATCCATGGTTCAGCTGCATTGAACTATACTTTACCACCAGCTTCCTAAATGCACACAGATCTCTTCAACCCACACAGACCTTTCCTTCTGTCTAGAATAACTATTCTTTTCTCTTCTCCAACTCTCTAGCTGATGCCACTTTTTTCTACTGCATCTTTGCTAATAAACTCAGCATATACTTATAATGTTTTATAAATTATATATATATAATTTTAAAATAGCCTGGCCACAGCTATTTTTTAGTAGGATTTCACCACTGCTCCTGCTCAGCAGTGTTGCTGCTGGCCCCCGTTTTATTGTACATAAATTCTACCCATCCCTTCTTTGTGCCTTTCACACCAGATTCAACATCCTGGGCAGGGGGTCTGGCAGGCTGAATTTAGTTTTTCTGTACATGCCCTGGCTTCTAAGAAAGAGGGAAGGAAATGGAGCCTCTTAGCCTCTGACTTTCCTTGAGGGGGTCAACAGTACCACGCACAATGAAGAATGCTCCTGCAAACAAAAGGTTTATCCAAAAAGACAGATATCAACTGCAACTTCTATTCACCCTTCAAGCCATGACTTTGATGTCACTTTGATGTCACTGTAAGAGGCTGATGTGAACTTCTCTCCTCTCCTTCCAGGAGGAGCCAGGGACTCTCTTTGGGATCCCAGAGCATTCTGGCCATTTCTCTATTAAAACATTATATTGCATTTTAAAATATGTGCTCTATCTTGAAAGTAATGTTCATTTTTGAAAATAGTCAAGTATTAAGTGTAAAGAAGAAAGCAAAAGCCCACTCATAATCCCATCATTAAGATTTGAGTTGTTTATCTTTACTCTTTCTTCTACTATACACATACATAACTTATCATGTACGGAGCTTGGGTCATACTTGTTACATGGCCTTATAATCTTTTTTTTGAGACAGAGTCTAACTCTGTTGCCAGGCTGGAGTGCAGTGGCATGATCTTGGCTCACTGCAACCTCCACCTCCAGGGTTCAAATGAGTCTCCTGCCTCAGCCTTTCAAGTAGCTGGGACTACAGGCACGTGCCACCATACCCAGCTAATTTTTGTATTTTTAGTAGAGACAGGGTTTCACCATGTTGGCCAGGATGGTCTTGATCTCTTGACCTTGTGATCTGCTCACCTCGGCCTCCCAAAGTGCTGGGATTACAGGTGTGAGCGAGCCACTGTGCCCGGCCTGATGGCCTTATAATCTTTATGTTCATATTTTTATCTAGAAAGAGGTGGAGGCACTGGTATTTCCAGCTTTGCCTCCCCCTGCTATTAATACCTAGTACCGTGTTTGGCACATGGTTGGCTCTTACTTGCTAAGTCAATGGAAAAGCTCCCAGAGGACAGAAACCACATTTTGAGTCACTTTATATTTGATTTAGGACCTATTATATGATCTTGCACATATTTTAACCTAATGCTTTCAAATGAAATAATTCAAGTCATGTCAATCTTTTAAATGTTAAAGTTTTGGGGTATAGATATGTATTGTGTGTTCTCCTCCCTACACAAATTTAATAGTAAGACCAGGAGTATGAGTTACAGTAGCAGTGACAATGACAATGGCCTTTGTTTCTGCTGTCTTACTAATGAATCACCAGAAACACTGAACCCTCCAAATTTCTCTTTCCCTCCCATTTGGAGAGCCAGACATTGTCTCATTGACAACCTTGAAGTTATACTTCCATAGCCATTTATCGTGACATTCAATGGTTAACTTTTTTCACTGCCCATGTAGAGTATTAGAGATGGCAGCAAATTCTTTGTCACTTTTGTTACTGAGAGATGGAAACTCTTTCTCCACCCCTCCGCTTATGATCTGGGCTTTGGTCAGTAGAATACAGTGGAAGTGATGCTATGCTGGTTCTGAGCCTTGCCATTAAGTGGGACCAGCAGCTTCCTCTTTTTCCCTCTTGGAATCCAGCTTCCATGCTATGAGGGAGCCCAAACAGCCACTTGGAGAGGCCAACAGGGAAGAGAGTCAAGGCCTGGGTCTACCGGCCCCAGCTGGCCAGCCAGGTGAGCACGCCAACTTGAAAGTCAAGTTGTCCCCAGGAGATGCTACATGGAGAAACCTGAATTGTCCAGGCTAACGCAGACCTAACAGCAAAACTGCGACCAAATAAATGGTGGTTTTTTTTTTAAGCCATTAAGTTTTGGAGTAGTTTGTGACATGGTAATACATAACTGAAACAGTTCCCGCAGTTAACCCTGCTTTTCTTCTAGAGGGAGGGGAGAGCTCTCTTGCCTCTAGGGCAAGAGCAGGAAACTTGCTCTTCAGTTTCTAATCTCTTCTGAGTTGGATAAAAGAACTCCTGAGTTCTCCAACTTTTAAATGTTTCGTTCTATAGAATTTCCATTTCTCAACAACTGACCAGGGTTTCTAGAGAGTTCTTAGGGCCTTCGACTTTGCCTTCCCACAGAGTAACCTCTCCAAACACCTAAGGCACTGCCCAAGAAAGTGAAAGAGGGAGGCCTCGATGGTCCCTTCTTGTTTAGGAGTCTTCATCACAGCTTCCTGGAGTTCTTCTTTCCCCCAAAAGATTCATCAGATCTCTGATTCTCAGGTAAGACTCCGCTTGCTCTGCCCTGGTAGACAAAGCTGGCTTCCTCTACATCCATATGTTAGCAACTTGCATGATATCCAGAGTGCCTTATTAACCCCAAGCAAACTTCCTAAACCTTCATTAGCTCATTGTAAAGCAACTCAATATCTCTCTCTTGGTTTTTGCTTTCCAGGCCTCTCAATTTCTTCTGCTGGATGCTTCGACTATCTGCTTTGAGTATCACTCCAGCATCTTAAATCAAGAGCTCTCTTCTGCTTCAGCAGCTCCCACGGTGCAATTTCCTCTTCCAATTCTGAAAAGCTGCAGCAGGATGTGCATTATCAGAGAATCCTGGGGATGGGGAGAACCTGGGGGGAACACTTAAAATGTTCCCCTGACTTCAGGCAGGACTGTGTGCACACCAGAGTGGTAACAAAGAATTTAGGACCTAAAAATAGCTCAGGGAATACTTAACTTTCTATAAGACATCTGGGATTCTCTCCTAATTCCCAATTTACCCCTCTTCTACCCTAATTCTCAAATCTCTAAGGCGGGGACTGAAACACTTATTAAAAACTCTAGGCTGGCTACACTGGCTCATGCCTGTAACCCCAGCACTTTAGGAGGCCGAGGTGGGTGGATCACCTGAGGTCAGGAGTTTGAGACCAGCCTGGCCAACATGGTGAAACCCCGTCTCTACTAAAAACACAAAAATTAGCTGGGCCTGGTGGCGGGTGCCTATAATCCCAGCTACTTGGGAGGCTGAGGCAGGAGAATTGCTTGAACCTGGGAGGCAGAGATTGCAGTGAGCTGAGACCGTGCCACTGCACTCCAGCCTGGGCAACAAGAATGAAACTCCGTCTCAAAACAAAAAACAAAACAAAACAAAACAAAACAAAAAATTCTAGAAAGCTGAATAGGTTCTCTTCACACCTGAGCCTCCTACCAACCCTGGGCTAGGCACACATCGATCTGAAATAAAGGGGTGGTAGTGGGCAGAGTCTTCATGAAACCAGCACCACTGTGAGGGCTTTTAGTTAGGGCAACCAATCCTCCAAATTGGGACACTTTTGAGAATAAAGAGGTTTGCTATTGATAATTATGCCATGGCAATAGTGATAAATTGGGGCTGTCCCAGCTAAATCAGGATGTACGGTCACCCTATATTTGGGAGCGGCTAAGAACGTGAGGTGGGGTGGGGGAGAGGAGGCAGGACTGCACTGAGAAGGAAAAAGAGTCCTAAAATACATCTCTTGTGTCCTCTGGTGCTTTTAGACCAATGGTTCTCATACTAAAATTGCCCGAGGAGGTTTTAAAAAATTATCAAGCCCTAGACCCCGACCTAGGCCAATTGCATCAGCACCTGTGAGGGTAAGAGCCAGGCATAAACATGTTTTGAGTGCCCCCAGGTGGCTTTAATGTATATCAGGGTCAGGAACCACTGTTCAAGGCCTCAGGGACAGTACTTAGACTCACAAGAGCCGACTGGTCCCTTTGGAGCCAAAAGACTCAAATCTACCTTAAGCTTTGACACATTATCTAAGTTGTCTTTCACTGCAAAGAGCAGAAAACCCTGGCAATCAGAAAGGAGATTTACCTTTTTTTTTTTTTTTTTTTTTAATTGAGGAGGCATCTTGCCCTGTCCCCTGGGCTGGAGTGCAGTGGCGCGATGTCGGCTCACTGCAACCTCCGCCTCCCAGGTTCAAGCAATTCTCCTGCCTCAGCCTCCCCAGTAGCTGGGATTACAGGCACATGCCACTGTGCTTGGCTAATTTTTTATATCTTTAGCAGAGATGGAGTTTCACCATGTTGGCCAAGCTGGTCTCGAACTCCTGACCTCGTGATCCACCCGCCTCAGCCTCCCAAAGTGCTGGGATTACAGGCGTGAGCCACTGTGCCTGGCAGATTTACTGCTTTCTGTAACAGGTAATATGAAGTCCTAAAGCAGGATGCATCTAGGCTTGGTTAATTCATTGGCTCAATGACATCATCAAGGACCTGCATTCTTCCGTCTTTTCCCTCTGTCATCCTAACTTGTTGGCTTTCCCCTGGGCTAGTTCCCCACATAGACACAAGAGGGTTTCCGCAGTTCTAGATCTCAGACGCAGGCATGAGGTCCAGAAGGACTGTCTCATCTAAGACCTGGAAGACTTTCCTGGAAGCTTCTCCTCCCCCTCTCCCTTACCTTCATCTCTTGTTTCATTAGCCAGAACTGGATCATTTGCCCACCTCCAAAACAACCACCAGCAGAGAGAAGAAAATCATCATGATTGGCTTGGGCTATTCAGGGCTCGCCACTGAGCTGGGTGAGAGTCCTCTTCCCTGAGGGAGGGACACCTGGCAAATCAGTGTCCTGTTGGCAAAGAAGGAAGGGTGTATAGGAACCAACAATGTCTGCAGCACCTAACAGTGACCAAAGTCAGATTGGTCTGTGCATAGGAATATCCACCCTAATGAGGTTGTTTTGAGGGGCAAATGAGATAGTGCATGCAAAAGTGCTTATGCTAAGTACTATTTTAAAAGATTTTTTAAAATAATTCCATTTCACAGAAGGAAAAAACTAAGGCACAGGAAAATTAAATGTTGTTATCAAAGTTTACCCACGTTATCATGATCTGACTTGTTGGCCTGTGTTCTTCACAGGCGACTAGTGCTACTTGAAATATTCTTCAAGCACATCCCACAATCTGGCTTCCTGTAGCTCAGCAATGGGGTCTTCCAACAGGGGATAAGAATGAAGTACAATGTAAATATAAAATAGAAGCTGATACTTGGGAGGCTGAGGCAGGAGGATTGCTTAAGCCCAGGAGGTGGAGGTTGCAGTGAGCCAGGATTGCACCACTGTACTCCAGCCTGGGCAACAGAGCTAGACCCTGTCTCTGAAAAAAAAAAAAAAAAGCTGAAGAAAACTATTTTTAAATAAAAAGTTTATTTTAAAAAACATTGTTATTTTTTCTAACACGTATTATTTAATTAGTCCTACTATTAATTACTACTAATTGCAACTGTTAACTACTAATATTGTTGTGTTGCTTAAATAATAACATTTATGTCACAGTAAATAATACAGAATATAATGTATAGCGAGAGAAGGGAGGAGGGGATCAATGTACAGTATTTACCGTGGCCAGGAGAGGAGGAATGGGGATGAACTAAAAAATCAAAAGGAGACCCAGAAACTACATAGATTTGTCAAAACAAGCAAACAAACAAAAAGACAATCCTGGCAGAAGCGTGGGAAGTAGAACACTATTGCTTAATATCTGCCAAGCCTGCAAAGGGTTCAGCACACATGGTTGCATGATGGGATTTTTTTGATCCCTTGAGGTTGATCTATGAAAAAACAGATGCTGCATTAGACTACTTTGCCATTTACAGGGCAGCATGGTACCTTATATTAAAGATGTCAGCTGCTTGGGGAGTCTTTGCAGAGGAGAGGATGGAGGACTGATACGTCCATAAAGCTGAGATTCTTTTCTGTTGAATTGTTTTAGAAATCACTAACTTAGTTCTTTCAAAATGCGAGTATTGCTTTCCTTCCCCTCATTCCGTCCTTTCTTAAAAATCTTGGCCCTAGTCTAGGTAGTTGGCCTGCTTTTGGGGTGGGAATAATGATATGTTTGAGAATTTTGAAATCCAGACCATGAAACAAAATGTTCTGTGGTTAAACCACAGTGCTAATGATACTGCTATCCAAACAACTACATATACCAACGTGTATTTTCGGGCTAGACATTGTTCTGCCATCTCTAGATTCCGATTTACAGTTGGAATAGTAAGCCTTGACAAACAGTAGGCAATGGATACATCCTTGGTAAGTATGTCCAAATAAGGAGAACTACTCTTGGGCAAGATTATGAAGAGGGCAATGTTTCCTTTCAGGCCCACCCAGTTCTCTTCTGCACGTCTCTGTTCTCTGCTTCCCTTCCCTTTCCTTCTATGGAGGAGGTGATAAGAGCTCTCGGCCTCCACCATCCTGGATTTGTTCCCCCTTCGGCTCCCTTCCCACTCACCTTTCCACTAGCTCCAAAATGATCACACTCTCCAACCCTCAGTATATTCTAGCTCAGCATGGCTGATCTGTACTAGGTGTTAGGATAGGGTAATATAGAACAGCAATCTTTGTTAAGATATGAATGACTGAAGATATTTACCTTTCAAATGAGATACTTTAAACCCAAATAAATCTGTAATTGGTGGAATTTCAGGCAATGACAAAAGGAAGAGAAATGAGGAAAATCCAGGGCCATCTTTGACATCACCACACATAGGCCACAACAAACTCGGTCTTCTTAAAGTCAGTTGTAGAATTACTCCTTGTCTTCAAGAGTAGAGAGGAAAGCAAGGGGAAACTCGTAAAGTCATGAGATACATCCCTTGGGATTGTGCCTCCTATCTCTCTTTAAGTCAACAATCATATATCTCTCTGGGCTATGTCCTTAGTGCATCTAGCATGGGTTTTCAATTGCACAAATTTGTGATAAAGGAAACACACACTTCAAGATACCTTTTCCCAGAAGTACTTCTTCTAAGATATCAGACCTTAGACCAGCAAGCTCACACCGACCTAGGAGTATAGGGCAGAGTTTTAAAATAAGCAAACCTAGACAAGATTGGTAACAAGGGATGATGATAATGATACATTTGTGGGTTCGGATTCTTAGGTGCCTGGGGGTGCCCTGATCAGAAGACTCTGAAAGAAGGAATAGTTCTTTAAGTCAAACCTGATGAATTTCTTGTATTAAACATCAGAAGTGGGTGAGAAATGGCAGCACTGAACAAACCAGGGAACTAAGAGGTTCTGCCACTGACTGTCTGTAATAGCAAAAGGTTGGGGAAAATTGAATGTCCATCCATGGGGAACTTGTTAAATGAATGATGATGTGTCCACATAATGAGATTCTAGGCAGCTATCAAACAAGATGAGAAAGCTATTTGCTGGTACAGGAATATACAGATTAAACACATAAAGGCGCTACTTTTGTGTAAGAAAAAGGAGAAACAATAATACACACATTCACATTTGCTGTATTTGCATAAATAAATAATAAAAATGCTTACTTGTACAGAGAAAATAGGAAGTGGAATGAGATAAATGGAAGAGGAGGGGAGCCAGACCCGTCACGGTTTGATATTGTTTCGACTTTTGAGCCATGAAAATATATTACCTATTTCAAAAGGTTTTGCGATTTGATATTGAAGTATTGTCAAAGTGGTTTATTGAGCATTTAATATATAATTTTCCAGTGAAGTAGGCTGAGTTTGTATGATTGACCACATTGGATCCAGGAGGAAATAGGGCCTAGTGTGATTTAGATACAATCCCACCTCTGCTATTCTTTGATCCTGGGCAAGTTGCTTAACTTTTCTAACCCTATCTGTAAAATGGGAATAATCGTAGAAGTGAAACAATGAATGTGGAGTCAAGTGAGGACTCAGTAAGAGTTAACTATTATCATTATGATTATCATCTACCATAGCTGGTCAGTGGCTGGGATGCTAGACCCCAGGTCTCCTGACTCCTAGTCCAGTTTGTGTTTCACCAGAACATAGGCAGGAAAGCGCTTGTTGTGTCTGTTCAAATAGAGATTTCTTGGAAGAAACACACCTTCTAAGAGGTATGAGCAGGTTGGTATTAACAAAGAAAAGTCTGTGAAATGAAATGAATAGATAATTCCTTTAAAAGAAGTTCTCTCCTCTATTCAGCATAGCACTATAAAACTTAACTGCAGTGGATGAATTAGTATTAGGGATTGATTTAAAATAATATAGGGGTAGAGAAAGTGGGTGGGGTATACATGAAACAAATTAGCCATGAGTTGACAACTGTTGAAGCTGAATGATGGGTACATAGAGGTTTGCATACTGATTGTCAACTTTTATATATATTTAACATTTCCATAATAAAAAGTTAAATATATATTGTAGCAGCTTAAACATGGCTACAAAATTCTCTGATACTCTTCCTGTTTGAGGGGTGAAGTCTATGTCACTTCCTCTTAATCCAGCAGGTTTTGGGACTGTTCTGACCAATAGAATGCAATGCAAGTGGCCCTGTGCCAGGCTCCCTTTAGGCCTTAAAGACTGGCAGCTTCTACCCTCATCTCTTGGAACACGGTCTGGAGTCCTGAGCCACCATGTAAGAAGTTTGACAACCCTGCTAGAGAGACCACAGAAAGGGGCTCTTGAGACTACACGGAGAGAAAAAGGGGCCTGGCTTCCCTGTTGTTCCTGCCAAGGAGGCACACATGTGAATAAAGCTTTCTTGGACCCTCCAACCTAGCCCCACCACCAGCTGAATTCCACAGAGTGACCTCATTGCTGTGATACAGAGCATAACAATTGTCCAGGAAAGCCCTGCCCAAGTTCTCAACCCACAGACAATAAATATGGGAAAATGATTGATGTTTAAGCCATCAAGTTTTGGGATAGTTTGTTACACAGCATTAGATAGATAACCAGAATACACATGCCACACACACACATGCACACACATATGTGCACACATACACACACCCACATACACACAAACACATGTGCACACACATATGCATGTACACACACCAGACACACATGCATACACATACACACACATACACGTGTACACACACATACACATGTGCACAAACATACATCTACACACATATACATTTTAAACAGCAACAGCAGGAATTTAGTTTGAAAACATTTGGATATCTGGCTACCTAAAATTTTGCAATGTGATAAAACTAAAGTACCAAATTATGAAGAAGTTGGTTATCAGTGGGACAAAGATATTCAAGTATTTGAAATTTAGGGCAGTATTTTAAAGGCAGAGAGGGTCTTTTTAATAAAGTAAATTGCAATAGTAGGTTGTGAAAGATTTACTTTCAGAGTCTGAGTAGGTCTTCTAGTTTTCATTTGCTGCCAGTTTAGTTGTTGACAAAACTATTGAGGGGCAAAAAACGCTCAAATCTCTTAAGAAGAAAGAAACCATTACAAACAGATCCAGCCACATTTCAAGGGAGCATGTTTTGATGGCTGCTTTTCCAAGTTTTCAATGTTGTCCTTTCATTTAAAAGCACACATATTTCACAGAGTAGATGATATTAATTGTGTTTTTTTTGAACAGCCACTGATTTTTTAAAATCCAGTAGACTCATCATTTACTTGTACAAACTGCACTTGTCTTGATTTCAGTGGTAATTTCACTTAATCAAGTGATCTCTGTTTTATTTATTTTCATATGTGATACAATTAGCAAAACAACAATGAAAGAAAACAAAAGAGACAAAACTTCAAGTGGATGTTGTTGTGCTTTATAGAACACCTTCCCCAATTTGCCAGATTGGATAGGTTGTATCAAACATCAGCTTTTCCACAAGCCCTCCCTCTCACCCTACCTGGAATAGCAACTCCTGTAGCACTACAGTCTGGCACCATTTTATTTTTCTTCCTTGTAAGTATGAAGGCATTCCATTTTACAGTCACTTGTTTGCAATCCTCTTTTCCTGTCATTACAACATAAGCTCTTTGAGAATAAGACCTTTAGATCCTGCTGGACCTAACACAATGACTAGCATAATGCTTAATAAATATTTGTAGAATGAATGAATGAACGAATGAGGATTTTTTTTTCCCCTTTTTTGAGACAGGGTTTTGCTCTGTCACCCAGGCTGGAGTGCAGTGGCATGATCATGACTCACTGCAGCCTCAACCTCCTGGGCCCAAGTGATCCTCCCACTTCAACCTCCCCAGCAGCTAGGACCACAGGTGCACATCACCACACCTGGCTAATTTTTAAATTTTTTGTAGTTGAGATCTCTCTATGTTGCCCAGGCCTGCCTCAAATTCCTAGCCTCAAGTGATCCTCCTGCCTCAGCCTCCAAAATGTCAGCATTACAGGTGTGAGCCACCACACCCAGCCCTGAGTGGGGATTTTTATCTCAGTTAATTTATAGTAGGAAATCACCTAAATATATCAAAATATGGGAAAAGTTAAATAAGTTACAGTATGTTATATCCATGTGATAGGATGCTATGGAGCTTACGGTAATTAAACTGAATTTCAAAGTACAACATGGCCAGTGGACTTTCAAATGATGCCAGACATTTCTAGGTCTGTAGGAGGAGACCACCAGCCTCCTAACTTCCTTTCCTTCTCATGAGAAGAACACCTTAATAGTTATGTACTTGTTCTGAAATGTCAGAGGCAGTTAGGCACCTGTTGCCTGAGGGAAGGACAGTACCTTTTCTGGGCTGAACCAAGATATTGCTCCCAGTGCTTCTTAGTACAAATTGTTCTAAGGAGGAAGTGGTCTCACTTGTCTAAGGAGCCCAGGGGCCTTCTGAGGGGGAAGTGACTGAGACTCTCAACAACTTATCACTGAAACTCAAAGTTGGACAACTTTTTGGGGTGGATTGAGAGGGCCTAATAAGGCTCCCCAACAGGATCAAGCAGAGTGTCGTTTAAAATACGATTATCTTGAGTGTGGAAAGAGATGGGACAGGTGGTCTGCTGTACCCTGGAGTCAAAAGGAAAAATGGTGTCAGCGATCACTGTGGTCCATGAGCAAGGAAACACAAGTCTCCTCCAGGGCAGTGCCTCGGGAGACAGGTGTGTGCCCAGGCAGTGGCTACGCGAGTGCTGACATTACAATGGCCCTGCTCAGCATGGTGGCTCACACTGAGGTGGCTTGCCCTGTGAAGTGGCCAAGTCCAGGGTGTAGTTTCTGTGATTCTAGGGAGACTAGATTCTCCTCCCTGGGTCCCGGATGATGTCAGAAGCCCCCGCTCACTTCAGGATACCCTACAACCTAGATTATCCCAAAGTACAGTATTTGAATCTCCTTTCAAAGATTAGCAGTATTTCTTAGCGAGAGGGGATTCAAATACCGCACTTTGCGATACTCTAGGTTGTAGGGATAGTATGGTATCTTACACTGTGAAGTCAGCTATCTTCGTTACATGCTCTACTGGGTTAAATGATGACTTCCAAATATTTATGTCCACGTGGAGCCTCAGGATGTGACTTTATTTAGAAATAGGGTATCCGCACGTATAATTAGTGAAGCTAATGAGGTCATACTGGATTAGGGTGGGCCCTAAATCCAATGACTGATATCCTTATAAGAAGGCCCTGTGAACACATAGAGACAAAGAAACACAGGGAGAAAGGCCATGTAAAGACAGAGGCAAAGGTTGGAGTGATGTTGTCAACAATCCAAGTAACATCAAGGATTGCCAGCAACTACCAGAAGCTAGAAGAGGTATGGAAGGATCCTACCCTAGAACCTTCAGAGAGAGCATCGCCCGCTCACAACTTGCTATCAGGCTTCTGGCCTCCAGAACTTTGAGACAATAAGTTTCTGCTGTTTTAAGCAACCCAGTTTGTGGTTCTTTGCTAATAGCAGCCCTAGCAAACCAATGCATATGCATTTATAGAGCGATCTTGATTTTGAAAAAATTTTGATGGACACAGGCACACACACACACATATATGAATGCACAGGGGAAAGAAAGCATGCAGAAAGTGGCATGTTGCATACCAGAGCATGTAGCTAAATGTAAATGCTGGTTGTTTTTAGTGGTAGGGGAATGAATGACTTTCATTTTCTTCTTCAAATTCTCTATAACTAGCGCTTATTATTTTAATAATCAGAACTAAATTAAATGCTCATCTAGTTGATGCTTCTGGCAGATTAACACCCAAATCTGTAAATCAGATTGTTTTAAACCTATTTGAAAAAGTACTTACATTGGCGTTGAACTAGTATTGCCCACCAAAAGGATTTGTCTTTCCAAGCCCACCTATGGTTTGTTTTTATTTAGTTTTTTACTTCTTTGCTTAGTTTTCTGTCAAAAGATAATCTTTATCAAACTAAAATACCATCAAGTTTGCTACAGTTCCATGGAATTCTAAATATTTCTCAATTCTCTCTTCCAACAATGTTGATCTATTATTGTTATTTTTTGTTGTTGTTGTTGAGACAGAGTCTCACTCTGTCACCCAGGCTGGAGTGCAGTGGCGCGATCTCGGCTCACTGCAACCTCCACCTCCCAGGTTCAAGCGACTCTCCTGCCTCAGCTTCCCGAGTAGCCAGGACTACAGGCACCCACCACCACGCCCAGCTAATTTTTGTATTTTAAGTAGAGATGGGGTTTCACCATGTTGGCCAGGATGATCTCGAACTCCTGACCTCAGGTGATCCCCCCGACTCAGCCTCCCAAAGTGCTGCGATTACAGGTGTGAGCCACTGCGCCTGGCCCATGTTGATGTTTAAAACTTGGCGGTGGTTCTCATCTTCTAAGGAGTAAATGAAAGCTTCCCAATAATGATAGCAAGCAGCCCTTACTATGTGCCAGGTACTATTCTAAGCACTTTATGTACATTGACGTATGCTAGAACCCTGTTCTATCTCCAAAACTTCCACTTTGTCTGATAAATTAAGTGATCACTCTGCCTATTGGGGTCCTACTATTATTCCCCATTTTACAAATGAGGAAACCGAGGAATAGAGAAAATAAGTAATCTGCCCAAGTTCACACAAAGAAGTAAGTGCCAGAGCTGGGATTTTGAACCCAGGCTCCAGAGTCCACGCTCTTTAAGATACTACACCATACTGCCTCACCTTTGAGTCTGGTAGGAGAATATGGAAGAGTATAAATACTACAAGTGACATAGAATGTTTTTTCCTAATTATTCCTCATGTTGTTTAGTTGTTATTTAAAATCTATTTTATATCCACAAACAAGCATGAGAGAAAGTAAAATGGATGTGGTGGGTTCCCTGACAGTCCTGGAAGTGGAGCATGGAATTGCTCTTACATAACAGTGCAACATTATTCAAACCATTTCCAACACGGTCTGAAAATCAAAAGGCTGCAGCGACTGATCACAGTACACGGATCAAACCGATGCCTCACTTAAAACCCTTCATTGCCTTCATGTGCCCTGAGGATCAAGTCTAACGGTCCTCGCAAGGACTCCAAGACTGTGCCCACCTTTCAGGTCTTAAGGGCTTTCTTCCTGCTTTTGGAACATTTCATCCTTTCTGCTACTTTGGGGCCTTTCCTGCATGTGCTGTTCTGTCTGCCCCAGGGGTCCTCCCTTCCCCGTTGCCTTTGCCAAGAAAACTCCAGAGTGAAATCACAGATCCTAGCTGTTTCTTGACCCTTGCCAGTCCAGGGGCCCTCCGAGAGGTCAGTCTCTCGGTTCCACAAGCCCTGGGCCCTGCCTGCTCCTCCTTCCTAACACTCCCTGCTCCGGTGTGAAGTCTATCTTCTCCACCATGCTGAATGGGCATCCGGCACACAGGCAGTCATCTAGATGTATTTGTTGACTAAATTCCTGACTGCCGGACAGATTAAGAGAAATAGAAGATTCACCCCCTCCACCCACACATACACTTTGGGCTTAAGAAGTTTACAATTGGCCGGGCCCGGTGGCTCACACCTGTAATCCCAGCACTCTGGGAGGCCAAGACAGGAGTATCACTTGAGATCAGGAGTTCGAGGCCAGCCTGGGCAACATGGTGAAACCCCGTCTCCACCAAAAAATACAAAAATTAGCTGGGTGTGGTGGCGGGCGCCTGTAGTCCCAGCTGCTCGGGAGGCTGAGGCAGGAGAATCACTTGAGCCCAGAAGGTGGAGGTTGCAGTGAGCCAAGATCACACCACAGCACTCCAGCCTGGGAACAGAGCAAGACTCCATCTCAAAAAAAAAAAAAAAGTTTACAATTAATGAAAGCAATAAATAAGAATACACAAATCATAATACTTCAAAATTCACAGAGTGGTGTCAATGCCATGGCTAAGGCTGTGCTACTTAGTTGCTTAGTTAAAAACAAAAGTTAATTCTAATTCTTTCTCTTTGAGGGAATAAATAATTTCCTGTAGTGACTGACACAAGATATGCCTTGGAGTTGAGAATCCCTCTCTTAGAGGGAAGGGGTTGTGAGCTGGAATCTGTTTCTATATACAAATCCTACTATTCAGATCAGGAGAAAGTGCCTCTGGCTGAGATAGGGACAACATGACAGCTGAGCAGCCAGGCTGACCTTGGCGATTGTATGAAGACATGTCCAATCATCATACCAAACCACCTTATGTAAGTGACAGGGTCAAATCACATGGGAGTGGCTCACCACCCTAGCCATTCCACTTCTTCTTCCTGCAACGAGAGGAGTATAACTTCTAGTAGATTTGCTGTCATTTTGTTGCTGAAATTGGGGAGCAGTTGTTTGTTTGTTTTTCTTTTTCTTTTTTTTGAGACAGGGTCTCATTCTGTCACCCAGGCTGGAGTGCAGTAGTGCAATCTCGGCTCACTGCAACCTCCGTCTCCAGGGTTCAAGTGATTCTCCTGGCTCAGCCTCCCCAGTAGCTGGGATTACAGGCATGTGCCACCATGCCTGGTTAATTTTTGCGTTTTCAGTAGACACGGGGTTTAACCATGTTGGCTAGGCTGGTCTCGAACTCCTGGAGTCAAATGTTCACCCGCCTCGGCCTCCCAAAGTGCTGAGATTACAGGTGTGAGCCGCTGCACCTGGCCCAGTTGTTTGTTTTACTTAAGATGAAATAATTCATAAGTGCCTTTCTTAGGCCCAGCATCTCAAGGACTTGCAGGATTTTCTGCACTAGAGGTCACACAGGTGGCTGACCAAGTTTGTGCCCAGCCACTGCTGACAGCCCTCAATCTGTGCATTTACCTTCATCCACTCTAGTATATGTACACTGCAATTTCATTTTTTACTTCACTCTGCTGTGATAATTGCACATTTGGGAAAAGGCATCTAAAATATCACCAAGAAAATAAGAAAAGAAAAAGGCAATTTTTCTTAAGGGGCTTTGATGAATTTCAGTCTTTATTCTGATTGCTTTTGCTTCGGCTTCTTATTTTATGTATTTACTCTTCAGGGTTGGAGTAATTGCATTTCTGATTTCTCTTATTTGGATGACCAGAATTGGCTTAGTAATGCTGTTTGAACACCTCACAGGTTTCTTTTATTCCGACATAATGGGGTGTTTTTTTCGGTTTGTTTATCCCATTGTGTTCACTCCTCCATCCCCAGCCCTTTTCAAATTTTTCACTGTTTGCAGACAGGTTTCCTTTCTCACCTGGAATTTCTTGCCAAGATGTCTCTCTTCTGCCAGCAAAAGGGAAAGAGGGTGACACAGTGGAATTGTGCCTTCTCTTTCTCAGAGTGCCCTTGCATTTTCATGACAGTTTGGGCTATGAATTAACATCCTAGTGTTTGGCAGCACACTAGGACTGTTGGGGTGAGCCTCAGACCTACATCCACAAGGACACTTTATAAAAAGCTATGATTAAATCTCTAAGAACTACCTTCCATCTATATTCACCTTTGTGTGGCTCAGCTGCTGCCCCTTTAGTGAGATTGTTGGATCAAATGAGAAAGGGGCCGGGTGCAGTGGCTCAAGCCTGTAATCCCAGTGCTTTGTGAGGCTGAGATGGGAGGATCTCTTGAGGCCAGGAGTTCAAGGCCGGCATGGACAACATAATGAGGCCTTGTCTCTACAAACAATAAAAAATTAGCATGGTGCTATTCTTTTAGGTGTGGTTATGCATGCCTGTAGTACCAGCTGCTCAGAAGGCTGAAGAGGGAGGATCACTTGAGCCAAGGAGCTGGAAGCTGCGGTGAGCTATGATCACACCACTCCGCTACATCCAGCCTGTGTGACAGAGTGAGACCCTATCTCAGAAAAAATTTTTTTAAATGAGACAAAATTATTTTATAGGTTATATTTTCCAAGGTAGCAATTTAACTGTGGTTGTTATCCTTTTATAAAAGGGGTTTCTAATTTTGGAATGAAACAAACGAAAGAGAAATTCCACTAAAAATAACAGTGAAAGGAGAAAAAGGAGAAAACACACTCACCAAAATTTAGAAGTAGCTCACACAATATCATCGAATCTCAATACCACTTTAGATATTGGAGCATGATTACCAATTAGTCTTTCTAGTTGCTTTGCTCAAACCTTTCTTTGAACACTGGCTCTATGGGAACAGTTGTCAAGGAAACCTGTACAACGTGGCTCTTCTGCCAGTTCATTCGGCGGGTCCCCGACTCCACAGCATGGGTGTGTGGTAGGCTTTTCTGTAGCTTATTATAGTTTTATGTTGATTAATATGAATGATCATCAGTCACTTGGTGACTTGAAGAAATTTTTTTGTAGCTTGTGGTGAAGAATTGAAAAAAATGTGGCTGTCATTTTGTTCTCCAACTGGATCTTAATTGATGTGCCTCCTAACAAAATTCACTAATATTGAGTACAATTTACCACCCCCAGATACTTTTATATGTGGGTTTAAAATAACGTCCTACTAAAAGTGTGAGTCATAAATACTGCCTAGACTTTCAATTCTGTGAAGATGTGAATTGAGGTCTAAGTATTATACATAGCCTCCATTTCCCTACAGATAGCAACATAAGACTCATGGATTAAGAGAATCCTCACCCTCTCTGTTTGAATCTTTAAATGCTTCAACACAGCTTTCAGATTTTCCTTTGCTTAAGCCACTGTCTTCCAGTATAAGGGTTTTAAACAGATAATTTCTCATTTGTTTTGTTTAGGGAAAATCTGTGGTAGTCTATTATTTGGCTCTATTTTAAATTTAGCTATTCTCTAAAGTCACCATTTAAATGAAATGAGGCACTTGGAAAAATAATTTTGTTTCCAATACTGTAAGAAATTAGTAGATTATCTTTCCTAGCTCAGCAACTTGTACTAATACCCTTGAGCTATTAAATTCAAAGCCAAAACTAAATAGCTTTGTTTTCGTTCCATCCATCCATTCTCCATTCTCCATCCATCCCACTCATTCACCCAACATTTACTTTGAGGAGCCTCTAGTAATAAAAGGTGTAACTTTAATGAAAGATCATGTGATAGATCAGGTTGAATTGACTTCTGTATTAGGGTTCTCCAGAGGGACAGAACAAATAAGATATATGCATATATAAAAGGAAGTTTATTAGGAAGAATTGGCTAGCACAATTACAAGGCAAAGTCCCATGATAGACTGTCTGCAAGCTGGGAAAGAGAGATGCCAGTAGTGGCTCAGTCCAAGTCCAAAAGCCTCAAAACCAGGGAAGCTGACAGTACAGTCGTCAGTCTGTGGCTTAAGGCCTGAGAACCCTTGGGAAGCCGCTGGTGCAAGTCCCAGAGTCCAAAGGTTGAAGAACCTGGAGTCTGATGTCCAAGCACAGGAGGAGCACAAGCAAGCACCTGGCAGGGGAAGAAGAAAGAGCCAGAAGACTCAGCAAGCAAACCGATCCCACCTTCTCCCACCTACCTTGTTCTAGCCACACTGGCAGGTGATTGGATGGTGCCCACCCACACTGAGGGTAGATCTTCCTCTCCCAGTCCACAGACTCATTTGTCAATCTCCTCTGGCAACAGCCTCAGGGACACCCAGAAACCATCCTTCACCAGCCATCCAGGCATACCTCTATCCAATCAACTTGACACCTCATATTAACCATCACAACTATTCTATTTGAGGTTCCTAATGTTGTTAAGAAGCTACAATTATCTGGACATGTATGCATGTATACACACAAGCACGCATGCATGCACACACACACATATATACACACAGAGTATCCTTCTGCACCTTTTTAAATTGGATATTCACACAGCTTATCTCAAGGTGACATCTTAAAAAGTCTCAATCAAGATTGTGGAATGGCCCAAGAAAAGGCTGGCTGAATACCTGGCCACCAAGAGGTCTCGCTGGTTGGCATTTTGACATCACCATTCTCAGGTCTTGCCCTCAGCTCTGTAGGCTCAGAAATGTGACTCCATCAGTCCTCCTGAGGAAAGATTCACAGTAGCCTTGCTCACTAGACACTGAAGAGCAAATCAATGGCTGGGGTGTTAATCACGATGAGAAACGCGACTGACACGTGGACTGTAATAGTTAGTGGGTTCTCATCCTATAGGAGAAATCAAATTATAATGACAAGAGTGCATGCTGAGCATGAATCAGAGTAAGGGAAATGACAGTCCACATATCCACTGGCATTAGTTTCTGAGAGTCTGATGAGGGACATCTAGGATAGGAGTATGGCCCCTGGGACTGCAGAAGGAAGACACGGGCTAGTGTACGTACAACGCACAGACAATACAAGATCCGCATAGCAGAACCTGTAGTTCATGTTGTCCACCTTCCCTCTGATGAATCTCCTTTTGTCTTTCCCTCTTTGGATACACTAATAACTGTTTTTTTTTTTTTTTTTTTTTAGACTGAGTATTGCTCTGCAGCCCAGGCCGGAGTGCAGTGGCACGATATTGGCTCACTGCAACCTCCGCCTCCCAGGTTCAAGAGATTCTTATGCCTCAGCCTCCTGAGTAGCTGGAACTACAGGCATGCGCCACCATGCCTGGATAATTTTTGTATTTTTAGTAGAGATGGGGTCTCACCATGTTGGCCAGGCTTGTCTCGAACTCCTCACCTCAAGTGATCCACTTGCCTTGGCTTCCTAAGGTGCTGGGATTACAGGAGTGAGCCACTGTGCTCAGCCTGATATACTAATATCTTGTAGAGTGTCTATAGCAACTTTACACACAAATGGGGCCTGATTTCACCCAAAACTATTCCCTGATATTTGATTGAAAGAATCTTTTGGTTCCACCCTTGCAGGATGCATTTCTATAGTTCGATTCTGAAAAGTGTTCCTTATTCCATGTTTGAGGGAGAGGGGTCCCTGACTCTGGCCCCGTTTACTGCTCACCCCTGAAGTCTTGGTTGCTTTTTAGATAATGCTGTTTCTCCTTTGCCTTCAGCAGAAGTGTAAGTCCTTGTCCATGCTCTGGATCTGTGCCAATTCCTACAGCTTCTTCTGGTTGGCATCCAAAGCCCTGAATATCATCATCCAAAGAGAGAAACAGTGCGATCTGATGACATGCAGTTCTGTAATATCCTGTTGGTTACAATCAGTTCTGACATAAAGTATTTATGGGATAGATAAGATCAGTTCAAGATCATAAAGTATTGAAAGGTGGATATACTAGAGGTAGACAAGAGGTTTGGGAGGATAAATCATGGCTTCCCGCTGTTCATTTCCCTTTGTCCAATGCCATTAATATGCATGTGATACCCAGAGAGTGAAAGATTTATTTCCCATTCAGCTTAACTACACAAACATTTATTCATTAAGCACCTATTTTCTGATACGTTCCATAGCAGGCAGTCAGTGAAATGAGGTATTTGGAAAAATAATTTTGTTTCTAATACAGTAAGAAATTAGTAGTTCGACTTTCCTAGCATGACAACTTTGTATTAATACCTGTGAGTTATTAGGTAGAATATAGAGATGAATGTGACATAGTCAAAAAGCTTGAGGTCTTCTGGAAGAGACAAAATATGTGTTTATTCATTCAATAAATATTTATTGAGCATTTATTATGTACCTCCCACATTTTGCTCCAGCCGTCATTCCCTTGTCATTCCCTGAGCCCATTGCACTGTTGCATCTGCCTGCTGTTACCCTTCCTGAGAGAGTGAAAGAAGTAGGAGCAAATGGACTAGTTAATGAAGCAAGGACCTGGAGCAAATAGGATGCAGGCAATCAAGGACACAGGCAGGAAGGCAAGAGAGCCTCTGCTGAGACTGTAGGAGAGGTGTGTGGATGATCAGGGATGTAGGTAAAACACGGTGGTGGTAGAAGGGCCACATGTGGAACACAGAGGGAGCATTGGATCTGGGCCAGTTCTGCCCAACACGGCATTCCTCTAATGGGACATTTTGGCTCAGGGACTCTCCAGAGACCTGACTGAGATTTTCTTGAACTTCTGCTGAGGTCTGAGGCTCTTCCCATTCAATCCCTCCTTCCCTTCCCGCTCTCCTTCCGCAGAGGTAGACCTGCACCATGGTTAAAGCCTTCTCCTAATTACCCCTGCTCCCTCGCCCTTTGTCCTCACAGGCATTTCCCTCAACAAACCTCTTGAACATAGAGTTCCTGCTTGGTGTCTGCCTCTCAGGGGACCCAAATGGATACCACATCTTATAAGTGGGGGAAAATGGAAGGCTGAAGGGACTCAGTGTGGTTTCTCCATGTGATGGAAGAATAGACGTACAGGGAATGAGAGCACGGGAATTGCAAGGGTTGGCGGCGAGGGCTGGAGAGCAGATTAGACAGATCAGGATGTAAAAGGGTTTCGGGGAGCAGAGTTCAGAGAATGGCTGTAGGAATAGGTTGCTGGAGGAGAGACGAAGGTCAATGACACTGGTCTGGAACTACCATGCAGTAATATTAGTTGCCTGTTCATTACTAATAGAACCCTGCTTTTATTCAGAACAGCAGCGGACCCAGCTGACAATTCTCAGCTTTCTTTGCAGTTAGGGGTGGCCAAGTATGTGTAAGTAAAAATCACTGGCTAGGGAAGGGGGGGGACACAAGGAAAAAAAGTGAGCAGTCACCTAGAAGGTGTGCCCATTTGCCATTTCTTCTCCTTTCTTCTTCCAGCCTTTCAGCCAGTTTGGACCATGAACCACTTTAAGGATGGAAACCAAGGCTAGGATGATGGAGCAAAAAGACAGGGGTCCTTAAACAACATGGAGTCACCATTCTAGCCCTGATTCGACTATATGAGAGGGTTTGTATTATTTAAGCCACTTTGCTGGGTATTTCATGTACAGTCAAACCAATTCTAACTGGTAGAGATAAATTGTTCATACAGACATAACTATCTCCTGGAGGTTGAGGTAGACAGAATGTATATAAGTCAGATGGAAAGATGCATAGTGTCTAAGGGGGAATGTTTTGGAGGCTAAGGGTGAGAGGAACAAGAAGAAAATGGCATGTATGTGAACGTGTACACGTCAGGGGAGGAGGGCCAAAGGGCAGAGGTTCTCGCCTGAGAGTGGAGACGTGCTGGATTGGAAATACCAATGAGAAATGGCCAGTAGGAGAGTATTTATCTCCCCTCACTGGCCCTAATGATTGTGGGGTGATGGAGTGGAGCAGCTTCTATCCTGGAAGGCTGAAATAAAGTGTTTGTTTCCAATGGGAGTTTAGAAACCAATGAAAATGGACAGGGGAGCTCTATTCAGTGAAGGAAAGAGTCAGAGGAAATAAATTACAAAAGAACACTGAGGCGAGCAGAGAGGCGAGGGCGAGTAGGGAGTGGAGCGTTGCCTTTGGGGAGGTGGCTAAAGACTGCAGAGAGCAGAAGTATGGAGGGAATGGCTTGCACCAACGTTTCAGCCCCTGACAGAGCCTCCTGCCGTGTCAGGCCCAGGTTCCATGGGAGGGGAGTGGGGGCGGGGGGGGGGAAGATCAGTGCAGCCTGCAGATTTCCTAAGTTTTTGCTGCTGTTCAGGGACAAATTTGCATAAGGTAGGAATGAGTCCTTGTCACAAATGTGGATCCTGACTCAAATACAGTTACGGTTACAGTTCAGCTCCATCTGAAGGTGAGAAACAAGCTCCCAGGTGAAGGGGCTCAGAGTCTGAAAGCTGCCTGGGCCAAGGTGCCTGGTAATTAGGGTTCGCCTTGCTGTCTGAGGACTGGAGCTGTTTCTGCCCCACTTGGCATTTCCCTATGTTCCCCCCTCAAATCAACAAATCATGACAACTCTAAGGATTTGGGGGTGGGGGACATTAAGTGAAGATCATTAAGTTTCATGTGTTACATGAAAGAACAAAGAACTGATATGAATGGAATGAATCTTAGCATTTTTGAAGTTTGAGAACTTCAAGTTCAGTCATACTTCTCCTTCCCCCATCTTTTTACCTATCCTAAAAATGCTGCATGGACAATAGGACCCAATTTTCTGAACCTCAAAGAAGATATACTATTTGATAATAAGTACATTTTTTGTTAACAGGCCAGCATTTTTGAAATTAGAAGAGCCCTCAAAAACGCAGGCTCTGTCTTCCTACTCTCTATGACATACTCAGTTTTTATAACTAAGTCAGTTTAGTTTTTAGGATTTTGTGGCACCCATCTCATCTTGGTGAGAATTATAAAATTCTCAAGGTTTTGTAAAAATAGATTTGGGAATTACCAACCTAGATATTTCCCAAAAGTGCATTAGACATCCCATGTCCTAAGCCAAGCAATTCACAGCCATCCTGCCTGCAGAGAGCACGCTTCTTAATCTTCTCCTCTTCAGAGCACACATCAGGCCTGGGAAGGCCAGTAAGCCCAGTTCCCAGTGAGTGACAAGTTTGGATTCCAGGGGTTCTGAGTAGACTTTGAACCTTCTCAATACTATTTTTGCCTCACTGCTTCGGTGACTTTGGACATTTTCTTCTGATTGATTAGGATTAAATGTGCTTTTCTAAGCTTCTGTTGAGACATGTGGTTCTCATTACTGTCACTGCTCATTTCCCACAGTCCAGCAGCCTCTCCCCCTTTCTCCAGCATTGCCTGTTATCTCAGGATCCCATTACAAGCCTGGAGGAACTGGCTGGGAGTCTGGATGTGGGTGATGAGGAAGGCTGGTAGGGAAGCCAGGAACCCACAGGAACTATGGTCCAGGAGTTCCATTCTTCTTTGTCCACAAACATAACAGGGCAGCCTGGGAGGGTTCAGGAGAGTCTTCTCCCCAAGTCAATATGTTAACCCATGTGGAATTTCACTAAATGAATGTCAAGGTGCATCAGTCAGGGGCCTGATGGGAAAGACGGTACCATCGAATTGGGTGATTTGAGTAGAGTTTAATCAAACCATGTGCTAGCTGGATTCTCTGGGAAGTAGATGCTGGGATGCAGTTAGGAGTGTGGAGTTAGTTAGAAGTTAGGATTTATTAGGGGTTATGTCTATGGAAGATAAAAGAAGCAGGAAGTAGGAATGAACAGGGAAAACCTTCAGTCTTGATGCAAATCACCTGTAATAAAAAAGAAGGGTCAAAGCAGGACTGGGCCAGGGAAGCTCAGAGCATGAGTCTGATCTGACTGAGTCTTAACCAACCCAGTCAGGAGCAGGAGCAAAGACAGCCAGTTAGAGGAGTCTCTGTTGTCACACAGAAATGGTCAGGACCCCCGGCCCTTGTATCCCCATCATATTCAGTCATTAGCTGGGGCTGTTCGGAAAGAGCGTGGCAAGCAGCAGCAGCAGCAGCAGCAGCAAGAACAACCATAAAATTGATCTTGAAGGTTGAAGGCAGTCAATTCACTGCAGCCTTGCAGCTGAATGGCAAGTTCTTTCATGCAAGAAGATCTGAGAGGTGCACCTCCATGGCTGCCACGTGGGATCCTCCCGAATGCACAGGTAGCGGGTAGAGCACCCACAGCCACAGAGCAGACTAGGAAGAGAGGGGCCCCACTGACCTCATCAGCCCTGAGTACAGACTGTCAGGTGGGGATGCAGCCTCCCTGAAGGGAGGGAGTCGGGGAGTAAGCACCTGCGCCTCACCCTCCTCCCTCCATCCTGCCAATGCTCCCCATTCTTCATCCGGAACAGCTTGTTGGTATAATGCATGCCCATCAGCCTCCCAGGGTGTTCAGCAGGGTGGAGGGGCTCAGCAAACACAGGCGGCACACCAGGGCAGCCTTGGAGAAGGAGCAAAGTCTCCCAGGGAGAGAGAATCCAGTGGTGGGGAAGGCCTGAGACAGGCAGAGATGTTTCTTTGTCTTGTCAAGCTTCTCCCCAGCTGTCTGCACCCCAGAGTCACTGCCCAGCTAACAAAGGATCTCTCTCCACCCGTCAGTAGCTCCACTGCCAAATCAGGGGCCTTAGGAATGAGTGCAGAGACAGACAGACAGAGAGAGAAAGAGAGAGAGAGAGAGAGAGAGAGAGAGAGAGAGAGAGAGAGAGAGAGAGAGAAGAGGAGAGGAGGGGAGAGGAGGGAAGGGGGAAAGGTAGGAGACACTTCAGAAACGGAGTGCCCACTCGCATACACCACACACATGCACACACACCACATTCTACTTTCCTGGGCCTTATACATGAGGGTGAGAGGTGACACAGGGACCAGAGTCTGAATCCAGCAGCATTCCTGAGGCTCCTTATGCACCTGCCTATGCAGCCCAAACTTCCCAGAACTGCCCCTCTTTCAGGGTCTTGATTATTGATTTGCAGAGTGGCCTGTGGCTATCCTTGCATGTGACCCTTAGGTCTCACCACTTCTGTCAGAGGACTCCTCTCTGATGGCAGCTCACTTTCTCCAGCTGCCTGTAGGCATTTATCTTGTGATGCTGTTTCACAGCCATTCACAGCCACAGGAAACATTAGTTCTGCTTCCGAGGAATGGACAATGCTGGGCAAATTACTTTTTGCAGCGAGCAGTTAAGATAATTTTTTAGTGATACGAACAGGACTCAGCCGATGGTGTTCAAAACAGTCCTGCTGGAGCTGAACTGGGAGCCGGCAGATGGCTTCTCTCCTAACTCAGTTTGACTGAGTGAGACATTTGATTTGAGCTTCTATTAAAGAGGTAGAATGTATTAAATTGTTTTGATGATGGTTGGCCTTTTTTCAGTGAAAGAATGTAACTTTTTTTGTCTATAAAAGAGTACACATGGACCATTTCCCTCTTCTACCCCCTATTCAGTAAGGCCCAGGCCAATTTCTTAAGTGAAGGCTCAGGACTTACTAAGTCACTTATTTTTCTACAACGTTTGCAAAAGTAATTGCTGAAAAATGTCCAAATGACGTGAGTGTATTTGGACAATGAGAAGGGAGATGGGTTTCCTTCCTAAGGGTCAGAAACTATACCCATCTCCCTGCTAGGTTCGGTCCCCTGACTTCACCACAGTGGGAGCTAAGTGAATTCTTGTTGATTGTTAAAAGGAAAGGCAAATAATTTTCCAGTGTTGTTTTCTGTTGGGACACTGACGTGATGCTGATCTGTAAGGCAGCTCTCTCTGTGGAATCACCACCACCTCGCATCCAGGGAGAATTAATTCAGGGCACAATGGAGACAGAGACCCAGCCGAGATGACAATTACAGGGTGGCGGAGTGGGTGGGGCGGAGGGGAAAGAGCAGGAGGCAGCGTTTGCTTTTGCCTTCTGATAGTCTCGCCTGGAACTTGGACACTTCTATATTATCCTTCTAGTCTGTAAAACAGTAGAAGGGAGTCTAAAGGAAGACATTTCCACTTACCTGTCTAAATCGGTTTGCTAAGGACTGCTGTAATAGAGATCACCAACTGAGTGGCTGAAACAACACAGATGTATTTCCTCCCAGTTCTGAGGATGAGAGATCATGCTGTCGGCAAGACTGGTTTCTTCTGAGGCCTTTCCCTTGGCTTGTAAATGGCTGCCTTATCCCAGGGACTTCATGCATTCTTCCCTGTGTGTGTATCTGTACCCTAATCTCCTTTTCTTGTGAGGTCACCTGTCAGATTGGATTAGCGCCCATCCTAATGAACTCTTTTTAACTTAATTACCTCTTTGAAGACCTTATCTCTAGTCACATTCTGAGGTACTAGAGGGTTAGGACTTCAGCATAAGAATTTGAGGGGACAAAATCCAGCCCATAACATTGCCATTGCCTGTTTCACTCCTTAGCCGAGTCTTTTGCTTGTGGCCTAGTGGTTGACCTAGTGGCAGGGAGGCGCAGCCTTCTAACTCTGACCGTCTGGAAATGGCTCTGTGATTGCACAGTCCTGGCAGTCAGCTGTATCTTGCATCCTATGGCACATGTTCTTCATAAAAGTTACATGAAGACTTTAAAGTTAAGGCATGTTTTCAAGGCCTGCTTATGAAAGGAAACCCGTAATAAATACTTTGTAAAATTCAGAATTGTCTTCTAATTTATTTACTTTTGTAAGTTCAGATTTCTGGGTCAACAATTTTCTTTTCTTTTCTTTTCTTTTTTTTTTTTTGAGATGGAGTTTCACTCTTGTTGCCCAGGCTGGAGTGCAATGGCACAATCTCGACTCACCGCAACCTCTGCCTCCCAGGTTCAAGCGATTCTCCTGCCTCAGCATCCTGAGTAGCTGGGATTACAGATACGAGCCGCCACGCCTGGCTAATTTTGTATTTTTAGTAGAGATGGGGTTTCTCCAGGTTGGTGAGGCTGGTCTCGAACTCCCAACTTCAGGTGATCTGCCCTCCTTGGCCTCCCAAAGTGCTGGGATTACAGGCGTGAGCCACCGTGCCAGGCTTGGGTCAACAATTTTCCAAGAGAAGGGCCTATCCATATTCATAAACGCCAACAGTTCAGCAAAAATTTTGGAGGTCTTGCTACATGGTAAGCTCTTGCTGCTGGGCGCTTAGGATACAACTGTGCACAGGACAAATGAGGGCCTTGCCTGCCTGCAGTTTCATATTTAACAGGGCAAACAGAAGATGAGACACAGAAATACTAAATTGAATTTTCTTTCTTTTCTTTTTTGTTTTTTAGAGATGGGGTCTTGCTATGTTGCCCAGGCTGGTCTCGAACTCTTGACTTCAGGAGACCCTCCCAACTTGGCCTCCCGAAGTGCTGGGATTACAGGTGTGAGCCACCAGAACTGGCAGAGTTTTCTTTCTGCATTGTAGTACAGTGCATCTACCCATTCATTCACTCATTCATTCATTCAGTAAATTTTTAGTGAGCACATCCCACCTCTCAGGCCTTGTCATGTGGGCAGGGAAAACACTGGTGAAGAAGACAGTCATGGTCTGCATGGCTCTTACATATGAGTTGTGAATTATTAGCATATTGTTTTGTAGATGCAGCTGTAATAGATTTATAAAATTGAGCCAAATATTGTCACAACTAGGTGTAGTTTGGGAAAATACTTCTTGATGAATCTCCCTCCTTTCTTCCTTCCTTCCTTCCCTCCCCCCCTCCCTCCCTCCCTTCCTTCCTTCCCTCCCTCCCTCCTTCCGTCCCTCCCTTCCTCCCTCCCTTCCTTCCTTCCTGTTGAACAAAATTTCAGAGATTTGAAGTGTTTTTGCAGATTGGCTTGTGGAAGTTCTACAGTACCACCAGTGGTCTTTCAAGCCTGATATGCTTTCATTTGATTTCCTTTTTGATGCAAAAGAAATTTTTAAAATGTACTAAAATCAGTGGCATAGAAATTGCAGTAAGGGATGTTCTCAATTAGAAGTAACCCATAAGTGCTGTATATCCATGAGCCAGGAACATTCGTCTATTTAGCCAAGTGGAAAGACAAGTGAGACGGGGGTTAGCAAAAAATAGATAAATATGCATACTTTCAAAAGAGTAATTATATTTTTACACCTCTTCAAGCTGTCCTATTTTCTCTGTCTCTTTTTTATGTGGCAATGCTAAATTTAAAGCAAATGGAAAAACAACCAGACTGAATGTTACAACAAAGGATATTGTATCAAACAAACTAACCAAGACAAGTTTGTTGAGAAGGTTTTAATTAGTTGAGCTTCGTGCACGCTCAGCCAAGTTCTAGTATGCTGCATAGAACTTTGGCAGACAAATCACTATGGCATGTGATGGTGACTGACCTTACTTTGAAGCAAATTATTACTTCCAAGAATTATAATGCTGCAACTTCTTGGACATAGCAATGCTCATTTTAAGGACATCTTTTAGATAGAAATTTAAGAAACAAAACAATACAAAGCAAAACAAAAACAAAAAGTGATACTGTTTAGAACTATCTAGCCATCCAAATGGCATGCCATGAATATCTACCAGCTTCATGATTCTATGTCAATCTACAGCTGTTTACATAAAGAAAGGCTTTGACATGGGGCAGGTTAGCTGAGCATCCCTCGGCACAATGACCTTGAGCCTCTTCCCTGCTTTTCTTTTTCTTTTTTTTTTTTTTTGAGATGGAGTCTCACTCTGTTGCCCAGGCTGGAGTGCAGTGGCGCCATCTTGGCTCACTGCAACTTCTGCCTCCCAGTTCAAGTGATTCTCCATTCTCAGCCTCTCCGGTGGCTGGGATTACAGGCCCGCACCACCACACCCAGCTAATTTTTGTGTTTTTAGTAGATCCAGGGTTTCACCATGTTGGCCAGGCTGATCTCCAACTCCTGGCCTCAAGTGATCCACCCGCCTTGGCCTGCCAAAGTGCTGGGATTATAGGCATGGCCACTGTGCCTGGCCAGTTTTTTTTCTTTTATGGGATATAACGCTGGTATAGCTTCTGGCCATATCTTTTGCTTGGGTAAAGCAGAAGCTTGCATTTTCTAAGCTTGTTTGCTACTGATTCCCATAGTTTTTAATAGAAGAAGAGAACAAAGCAGTCACTGGTTCTAGTTCTTACATACATAGATGATGGAACAGAGGTTTCAATATTTTTCCTTTGGCTGTTTGTCTCCTAACAAGGTAACAATCCGAATATTCCTCTGTGGTGTAGAGGTAGGCCAAAGAATCAGGTAATGTATAAACAAAACTACGTCAAAAAGGCCTGTCCATTTCAGTGTCTTAAGACTGACCCAAGCCTCTGGCTTCAAATGGATTGAAAAGGTGGTGAAAAGGGCCATTGCTTAAAGATTTTCTACATAGAGGCAAAATCAAGATATTCACTGTTGGCTGGGCATGGTGGCTCACGTCTGTAATCCCAGCACCTTGGGAGGCTGAAGCGGGCGGATCACCTGAGGTCGGGAATTCGAGACCAGCCTGACCAACATGGAGAAACCCCATCTCTACTAAAAATACAAAATTAGCTGGGTGTGGTGGTGCATGCCTGCAACCCCAGCTACTCCAGAGCCTGAGGCAGGAGAATCGCTTGGACCCAGGAGACAGAGGTTGCGGTGAGCCGAGATTGTACCACTGCACTCCAGCCTGGGCAACAAGAGCGAAACTCCATCTCAAAAAAAAAGATATTCACTGTTAATTATTTGAAACCATCCAGGCCAAAATACCCACTTTGAGATCCTTTGTCCACTGGTTGGCCATGGTGCAGCTGTGTGCACATTCTAACACACTGACTCAAAGAGTTTGGATCCCATGTGTTGCAAATAGTTCAGTCTAGCAGGAGCTGTGGACAACAGTGCAGACAGATGTGCTCATTGGTTGGCACATCCGAAATAAGCACTTTATGATGCTAGAAATGAAAGTGCCCTTTAGTTCCGAGGAGGAAATAGAAGGCACTCAGTCAGCTCTGATCAAGCCATTCTTGGATTCATGGGCAGCAATTGCAGGGCCAGGAAGGAGCTGAAGTGAATCTTCCTTATCCCTCTGCCTCGGGTGTCAGAACCTGTTTACTGGAACTGGAAGATATTGCCTACATTGCCTGAGACAGGCCTTCCCTCCTCTTGCTTCTGATGTTGCAGAGTAGAAGTCAGGAACTTTTCAGAGAAGGAAACTGAATCCAGAAAGGCTGATGTTTCTCAAGGCCACAGAGCTGGCCGGTAGCAGAGCTGGGGACTTGAGGTGAACTTGAGTTGGCTCCACTGTCCCAGGCTGGCTCCATGAGTCTGCCATGACGCCTGTGGGACACATGCTGTCTTTGAGACATTGGAGATCCCAGTTAGCTTAGTTCATCTCCACCAATGCTCACATCATGTACTTTATAGGGAGCTCCCCCGACCCCACGCAGCAGCTTGGCCACACAGCTCAGAATAAGAACGCACCCTTACACACAGCTCCTGTGTTTTGCGATACATGTGCTGTGAGCACAGGCTTATGTGAAATCTGGTCATAAAACTACAAACACACCCTTGCTGTGGTGGGCCCAGTCATTTTGTCCACCCACAGCACAGGGGTTGCCAGCTCTGTCTCACAGTTGGTACCTCTAGAAGAAAGCAACTTCTGAGACTTCTGGCCGGGCATGGTGGTTCACACCTGTAATCCCAACATTTTGGGAGGCCAAGGCGGGCGGATCACCTGAGGTCAGGAGTTTTGAGACCAGCCTGGCCAACGTGGTGAAGCCCCATCTCTACCCCCAACAACAACAACAGAAATCCGGGCATCGTGGCATGCACCTGTAGTCCCAGCTACTGGGGAGGCTGAGGTGGGAGGATTGCTTGAACCCAGGAGGTGGAGGTTGCAGTGAGGGGAGGTTGCAATGAGCTGAGATTGCGCCACTGCACTCCAGCCTGGGTGACAGAGTGAGACCTTGTAAGAAAGAAAAAGAGAGAGAGAGAGGAAAGAAAGAAAGAAAGAAAGAAAGAGAAAGCAAGCAAGCAAGCAACTTCTGAGATTCAATGGTAACATTGAGAGTTGCCTCATAGAGGATTGAGAACAAGTGGGGAGGAGGGCAGCTATTAGTAGATCCCTAGTTGTGAGGGATTCAGATGGCTGGTTGAAGGTAATGCCATCTTTTTTCCATAGTAAACCTAGGCCAGCAGCTGTAAGGAAGGGTACTCTTTTGCAGGGCAAAGTCTTCACAGCCCCAGCTAGCCCAGGCTGCTGTTAGCTGATATTTTCCTTTTGGATCCTGTGAAGCAGTTACAGGCAGGATGTGGCTGACTGTTCTTCCAGATGGGGAGTCGTGGCACCACGGGGTCGGGGGGTGAATGGAGAGGGAAAGAAGGCTGTGTCGGAGCCCACAGAAGCTGCTGGGACAGCCGGGCTTGTTGCCCTGAGACAGGCCTTCCCTCCTCCTGCTTCTGATGTTGCAAATGTAGAAGTCAGGAACATCCTTGGGGTGGGATGGGGGCTTCGGACTCTACAGTCCACAGGGAAGTAGCAGAGGGAACAAGGAAAGGAGTTTCCAGTTCATTTATAGCACATCCTTGACGTAGAGGAAGGGGAAGGAGTTTGATTAACACCCTAAGCTAAAAATGGGAATTTTTTTTTTTGAGACAGAGTCTCACTCTGTTGCCCAGGCTGGAGTGCAGTGGTGCAATCCGGCTCACTGCAAGCTCCGCCTTCTGGGTTCAAGCAATTCTCCTGCCTCAGCCTCCAGAGTAGCTGGGACTACAGGCATCTGCCACCATGCCCGGCTAGTTTTTTGTATTTTTAGTAGAGATGGGGTTTCACTGTTACCCAGGATGGTCTCGATCTCCTGACCTCGTGATCTGCCCGCCTCGGCCTCCCAAAGTGCTGGGATTACAGATGTGAGCCACCACACCTGGCCAAAAATGGGAAAATTTTTTAAGAAAGGATTATAAAGGTTAGGAGATTTCTTTCAGCCACTGAGAACACAACTGGTTTTCAGTCCCCTTTGTAATTGGGGACAGGAGTGAAATGGACAAATGAACCTCACAGATAATCCCCAATGCTTACTCTCATCCATGAGTTTCAACCTCTCCCCTCCACAAATCTATTCCAGGTCCTGATGAGCTGACTGAAGCATAGGGACATTGCAGGCCAGACCTGTCCTTTGACACAGGTGCGAGGCACAGTAAGGAGGCCAGGGGTGCAGAGGGCCACGCGGAGGCCTGGAACTGATGGAGGCACACGGTTGCAAAGACTCCCCAGAACGGCAGAGCTGGACAGGTTAACCCAATCCAGTTGGTCCTTTATGGAAAGTGAAACCAAAGTTCCCAGAGGTTAGAGCCATCTGGTTAGTTAGCAAAACCAGGCCCAGAAGCTGGCTCACTTCTGGTCTATGGCTCTCTGCACCATATCCCAGTCTCTGGCTTGTGTGTGGGGCATGCTACTCACCCTCAACTGATGTCTCCCAGGGCTCTGCAATGCCCCAGGCACTGGGATGAGGCTTCCAGATTCATCTAATACACATAAATGTTGCTCTTCCTGTCGTGTAGACAAGGACACTGAGGCTCAGAGAGGCTCCGCAGGCTAGTAAATGACAATTTCATATGTCATATTTCAGCCTTAACCTGAGTCCCAGGTAACACAGCCAGTCAGATCAAGAGTTAGAGTTCAAATCCAGGTCTCAGGACTCCAAGTCCAGTGCTATTTCTACTACCCCATTAAGCTGTAGAGCTTTCTGTAATAATTTCTCTCATTAAATTGTTTTTCATGATGGGTTATATTTAATTGCTTTATTGCATTTTAGGAATGCACAAAATATATGCAGATTTTTTAAAACCAAGAACATTCTATCCTTCCAGCCTCAGTCTGTGTTCTCCCATTCAGATTCACTTACTCCCTCCCACTCCCAATTTTTGACCTTCTATGTCCAGAAAGGATGAGTGCTAACTTGAGAGGTGTTTCGAATTTGAAGTCAGGCATATGAGAACACGCCCGACTCATCTCTGTTGCTGTGGTCGAATGTTAGGGCTGAAGGGGACCTTAGAGAAGAGTCCTCTCTTTTCAGAGAAGGAAACTGAATCCAGAAAGGCTGACGTTTCTCAAGGCCACAGAGCTGGCCAGTAGCAGAGTTGGGGACTCGAGGTGAACTTGAGTTGGCTCCACTGTCCCAGGCTGGCTCCATGACTCTGCCATGACGCCTGTGGGACACATGCTATTGGAATTGCTTTCCCTGGGCTCCCTTCACCTAGATGCAGGGGTGGGTGCTTCTGAAATAAGCCTTGTGAGGATGAGGAGATTAAAGACTGGACATGGGGGGACCATTTTTTTATCTTAAACTGAAACTTTCAAACAATGTATCAGTCTAAGGCCACCTTGGATAGGTTTGGGAAATAACTCCCAGAGCTACTTTCTGTTAAGATGCTGCTGAGACCTGAAAGGAATGTTAACAGGGAAGACACTAGTGCAATCTAACCTTTGTCCAACTCTTCCTCCAAATCATTCCAATCCGAGGTCATTCATGGCTCTGCTGCAGAAAAAAAGATGGCACTCAGGTTCAGAGGAAGGAGATTCTAGATTTATTTGGTCTAGCTGGGAAATACCCTCCTTTTGTAAAAAGATTCCAAATAGCTGTTCCAAATGTCATCTTTTTGACTAATGGACAAGTAAGTAAGTTTAGTACTTTTAGGAGTCAAAGGTTCACATATACATTCCCAATTAAGGGCCATTTCACATCATGCTGATACAAACTTATCTTGGAATGTGACTACCCTCCACCTGCGCTCTATACAAGGTCTTAGCAATGTGTGACTGGGATATGAAGCAGCTGAAAAATGCTACGGTCACATCCAAAGGGTCCTTACATGATGTGATCTAGCCTGGTACCCATCAATGGCTAGAATCCCACTCAACTGCAGACACGTTAAGAAGCTTCTACCTGACAGTACAGCCACAGCTGCTTTGGGGCAAAAGATGGGTGGAGACTTTGGTGGTGCAGAGGTGAGGTTGAGAGAGGCAGGACTAGAGTGAAAACAGGAGTCCATCTCCCCCACCTCTGGTAACTATTGGTGGGGCCTGGAGAGGGGAAGGTGTCCTTCATGCTCCTTTGGGTGACATATAGGAGTAGATTCCCAATTATCATCTATAAGCACTCCCAGTGGCTGCTGGTGAGTGAGAATCAGGGAACAATACCACTGGGAGTTCTACATTCCAAATAAAACTTGCTGGCTTCCTCTGGCTGTTGCCTAAGGCCGATAGGATAGGACAGGCCTGGTCTCAGGGGCTGGTCTCAGGGGCTGTTGTTAGCCCAGAGCCCAAATCCCAATGTGAGTCATACAATCATCATGAGGCACCAAGCACTCTGGAAAGAACATTCTCTAAACAGCACTGAAGTATCTGGACAAGAACACCAATGAATTCATAATCATTTATTGTAAATCACTCACAGTTTACACATTACCAGTGGCAAAATAACACTGTTAAACACCTACTGGATGAAGAACTTCATTGTGACTATTTCCAATTGCCATCATATCTTTTTCTAAAATTTAAAATTTAACTTTTAAATCCTACATCTTTTCTGAAAATATCTATCTTCAAAGTGCTCCAATACTAACACTATAAGCCCTTTCTTTTGCTCTAACATCTAACACAAAGGGCACACTGTCCCATTAATTCCACATGCACTTTACAAAGCAACTTCACACACAAATTTTTTTAATCCAGAAGCTACATAATGATCACTTTATATTTTGCTACAAAATTAATGAAGGCTGCATGCAGGTGAAACATTAGTAGACACGGAATTCTAGATAACTGTTGGTTCTCAAGATCTGATGGTCTGATGTGGAAAATTAATATGCTTATTTAGCAGAAGTAGCTAAAGTACATGCATCAGTGGCTGGGATCAATTAGAATATAAATTAGGTGCTTAAACATTTAAACGAGAGCTTAATTTGAGCTTAATTTGATGTCTGGCATGTCAGAGTTATACACCTTTAAGATAACAATAGCAAACAGAACAAAATCAAACATCTAAACAGGCATGATTTATAAGGTGGGCTGGCCATAGGGCTCAGGACACAAAACGAGCTGGGCAGTGAACAAATCTCTCTTGAAACAAAGACAGTAGAGCATTAACAAGCTGTAAACACAGCAAAAAAATAAACAAGAGCCATTTCCTGTATTCTCATTTTTTTCAGTTTTTGATTCTCTTAAGCAAACAATAAAACCACACACACACAATAATTAACAAAACAGAAACATTCTTTAGTTACCACATAGATCCCCCTTCTGTCTTCTACCCTGCCTCTCTGCTCCTTCAGATGGTTGTTTAAAAGCAATGATGGGTTAATTGGTAGAAAAGAAAACAAATGCTCTCCTGAACTACACTGAAAGAATATTACTTTCCTTCATCCTGTCAGGGTTAGCATCATGTTCAAGCACATGACAACGTATATTTGACGTATTTTAGCTATAGCGATTAAATCACATGTCCACACTCTAATGTTAAATCGTAGTAATATTGACTTGAAAAGTTTTTTAGGCTGGGCGCGCTGGCTCCCAGCTACTCGGGAGGCTGAGGCAGGAGAATGGCGTGAACCCGGGAGGCGGAGCTTGCAGTGAGCTGAGATCTCGCCACTGCACTCCAGCCTGGGGGACAGAGCGAGCCTCCGTCTCAAAAAAAAAAAAGTTTTTTTCGGCAGGGTGCGGTGGCTCACGCCTGTAATCCCAGCTCTTTGGGAGGCCGAGGCGGGTGGATTGCCTGAGGTCAGGAATTCGAGGCCAGTCTGGCCAACATGATGAAACCCTGTCTCTACTAAAAATACAAAAAAATTAGCTGGGTGTGGTGGCAGGCTCCTGTAATCTCAGCTACTCAGGAGGCTGAGGCAGGAGAATTGCTTGAACCAGGTAGGTGGAGGCTGCAGTGAGCCGAGACTGCGCCACTGCACTCCAGCCTGGGTGACAGAGTGAGACTCTGTCTCAAAAACAAAACAAACAAAAAAAAAAACGAAAGTTTTTTCATTGATAATTGTATTTCAACATTATTTTGAGATAAACAAAAACATTCCCAAACCACATTGACTCGTTCCTTCCCCACCCTCTGCCCCCTCCCACGATCCAATGTACAAGAGAGCTATTGTAACCAAAGCCATGAACCGAGGTTGCAACGGCAGACATGTGGGATGGCTGTTCCAAGTTCAAGCACTGCTGTCTCCAGTCCTGGCCTTCCGGGCCTCGATCATCGGCTTGGTTGCCCGTTTGCGGTCAGTGGCCAGCCCCAGCCAGCACATGAAATCAATGAACCAGGTGGTTGGGTTAAAATTTAAGCCAAATTCACTCGCAGAGTAGTCAAAGGGAAAGGTGTGATGGTAATTATGGAAGCCTTCACCTGGAAGACAAAGCGGGCATTGATATAATTCAATCACCACCTCTCTGCATAGATGTTTTGAATCACCTATTTTTTCAGGGTTTACCATGTGCAGGACATGGTGTCAGCCTCTGTGAGGAGCAAAAGACTTGGTTACTGACTCCAAAGGCATTGACTTAGTTAGCTAGACAAACAATATGAACAGAAAAAATAGCAATAAATCGTCACAAGATTAACTTTCCTATGTGAACTGCAGACATGATACCATGACCTCAGAGCTATCCTTCTTAAGGTAAATGCTAAATGGCTGATAACAGATCATCGTTTTGATGTACAACTGTTTTTAAAAAATAGTCTCTGTGGGCTGGAGTGATTAAAAAATCCTTTTTTGGAAGAGCTCAAGAGAGACAAATGAGAATCATTCAAATAGGTAAGTAAATTAAATATCTTTAAATATCTAGAATGTACTTATATATTATTCTACCCCTTCCAGTGGCCAGTGGGCAGCTTTTACTCTCTCACTTTTTTTCATGTAGCTTTTCTTTATTATTTATTATACTTTAAGTTCTAGGGTACATGTGCACAATGTGCAGGTTTGTTACATATGTATACATGTGCCATGTTGGTTTGCTGCACCCATTAACTGGTCATTTACATTAGGTATTTCTCCTAATGCTATCCCTCCCCCCTCCCCCCACCCCACGACAGGCCCCGGTGTGTGATGTTCCCCGCCCTGTGTCCAAGCGTTCTCACTGTTCAATTCCCACCTATGAGTGAGAACATGCGGTGTTTGGTTTTCTGTCCTTGTGATAGTTTGCTCAGAATGATGGTTTCTAGCTTCATCCATGTTGCCACAAACGACATGAACTCATCCTTTTTTATGGCTGCATAGTATTCCATGGTGTATATGTGCCACATTTTTTTTAATCCAGTCTATCATTGATGGATATTTGGGTTGGTTCCAAGTCTTTGCTATTGTTAATAGTGCCACAATAAACATACGTGTGCATGTGTCTTTATAGTAGCATGATTTACAATCCTTTGGGTATATACCCAGTAATGGGATGGCTGGGTCAAATGGTATTTCTAGTTCTAGATCCTTGAGGAATTGCCACACTGTCTTCCACAATGGTTGAACTAGTTTATAGTCCCACCAACAGTGTAAAAGTGTTCCTATTTCTCCACATCCTCTCCAGCACCTGTTGTTTCCTGACTTTTTAATGATCGCCATTCTAACTGGTGTGAGATGGTATCTCATTGTGGTTTTGATTTGCATGACTCTCTCACTTTTTTTAAAAGATGTACTCATGAGAGCTCTCATGGCTTCTCTGATTTGATTTTTTAAATTTCTTTTACTTATTTTTTAATTGACAAATAAAATTTGTATATATTTATCATGTACAACACCGGGTTCTGAGATATGTATAAATTTTGGAATAGTTAAATTGAGCTAAGTGACATGTGCATTACCTCACACACTTATGTTTTTGTGGTAAGAACACTTAAAATCTACTCTCTCAGTGATTTTCAAGAATACAATACATTGTTATTGACTGTAGTCACTATCGCCATGTTTTACAGTAGACCTCTTGAACTTGTTCCTCTAGTCAGACTGAAAATTTGTACCCTTTGACCAATATCTCTCAACAACCCCCCTGCCCCAGCCTCTGGTAACCACCATTCTGCTCTACTTCGTTCAACTTTTTTAGATTCCACATAGAAGTGAGATCGTGCAGCGTTTGTCTTTCTGTGCCTGGCTTACTTCACTTAGCATAATGTCCTCCAGGTTCATTCAAGTTGTGGCAAATGACAGGATTTTCTCTTTTTTAAGGCTGAATAGTATTCCATGATGCATATGTGATACATATTCTTTATCCATTCATCTGTTGATGGACACTTAATTTGATTGCACATCTTGGCTACTGTGAATAATCCTGTTTAAACATGGGAGTATAGATATCTCTTCAACATCCTGATTTCATTTCCTTTGGATCTATACCCAGAAGTAGGATTGCGAGATCATATGGTAGCTCTATTTTTAATTTTTTTGAGCAACCTCCATACTGTTTTCCATAATGGCTACACTAATTTACATTCTCACCAACAGTGTGCAAGGGTTCCCTTTTTTCACATCCTCACCAACACTTGTTATCTTTTATCCTTCTGATAATAGTCATTCAAATAAGTGTGAGGTAATATCTCATTGTGGTTTTAATTTGCATTTCTCTAAGGATTAGTTCATTTGATTTTCATAAACAGCTTTGTTGAGATAAAATTCACTTACTGTACAATTCACCCTCTTGAAGTATACAATTTAATGGCTTTTAATATATTCACAGAGTTATGCATCCATCACCACAATCAATTTTACAACATTTTCATTACTCTCCAAAAAGACCCACATGCCTTAGCCATCACCCCCAACCGCCTCCTACTCCCTCCCAGTCCTGTTTTCTATCTGTGTAGATTTGCCTATTTCAGACACTTCATAAAAATAAAATCATACAATATGTAGTCCTTTGTGACTAGCTTCTTCCACATAAAAAATGTTTTCAAGGTTCATTCATTTTGTATCAAGTATCAGATCTTCATTCTTTTTATTGCCAAACGGTATTTCATTATATGGATGTACAACATTGTACGTATCCATCCATCAGTTGATGGACATTTGTGTTGTTTCCACTTTTAGCTATTATGAATAACGTTGCTATGAACATTGATATACAAGTTTTTGTGTGGACATATGTTTTCATTTCTCTTTGGTATAAATGTAGGAGTGGAGTTGCTGGATCACATAGTAACTATTTTTAACTGTTTGAGAAACTGTCAGACTCTTTTCTTACTTCTTAAGTGGCTACTAGTCATCACATAGTTCTGCCACTGACCATGTTTAAAGGATTTCGCTCTATAACGAGTACCTCAAGATGGATCCATCTGTGGTCTGCAATTTTCTTTTAAATTTATGCCATCCCTACCCTGCACACCACCTCCCCCCCCCATCATTTTTAGTGTTTTTCCTGGATTAAAGAGCGGTATGGAAAAGTTTCTTCACCCTATTTTCAGAAACAGACATTATGATGTACTCCCCACTCTACTGCACAACTGGATATGGCAAGAGCTTTCCAAGGACTTTTGGGAGGCAAACTGTCTGGGAGTCCAGTGTTGAGCTGGATAGACTTATAACCAATACCTAGCTCCTTAGGGCCCATGTCATGGCCATACTGCTTGAGTTTCCTGGCCCATCCATCCCTACATGGTGACGGACCATCTTGTCCCCATTTCTGTCTACTCACAGAATCAACACTGGCCACGGCTTCCCTCATTACAGTCCTTTCAGAAGATGCAGGGCAAGAGGAGGGGAAAGCCATAGGAAGGGTTGGGGCACTGCCCCTCCTGTTTTCCAAGGCACTTTCTCCCTGCTTATGCAGTTATTCCCTGGCTAAATGTAGTGTTCACTCCACCTTCTATTGCTGCCATCAGTGCAAGTTGACAAGAACTTTGGGATCCCTGGGGTCTGAAAAACAGATGGCCCTAATGAAGTGATGCAGAATCTCATCACTGAGTGACACAGAGACCATTTCTACTTAACAGTAGGAACTTTCCTATGTTTGATCTCTGTGCTCAAGGCTCAGCTTACCAAGAAGTCTGAGTTGCTTCTACAAAGGTAGAGCTAATATTTCTTAATCACCTTGCTTTGACAGGTATTAACTCCTTTTAGCCTGAGGCCTCTGAAGTAACTGCTATGATTATCCCTGCTATGATTAAAACGAGGAGATAAATGCAAAGAAGGGACAAGTAAGTTGCCTAAGAACACATGACTAGCAATAAAAGCAACATCACGGGCCGGGCACGGTGGCTCACGCCTGTAATCCCAGCACTTTGGGAGGCCGAGGCAGGCGGATCATGAGGTCAGGAGATCGAAACCATCCTGGCTAACACGGTGAAATCCCGTCTCTACTAAAAAATACAAAAAAATTAGCCAGGCGTGGTGGTGGGTGCCTGTAGTCCCAGCTACTCGGGAGGCTGAGGCAGGAGAATGGCGTGAACCTGGGAGGCAGAGCTTGCAGTGAGCCAAGATCACGCCACTGCACTCCAGCCTGGCAACAGAGCGAGACTCCGTCTTAAAAAAAAAAAAAAAAAAGCAACATCACGAAGGCTTGTTTCATACAAGCACTGGTAGGAACACTCTGTATCAACTCATTTAGCCCTCTAATGACCCAGGAGGAGGTAAGTGCTAGTATTACCCCCACTTTACAGATAGGGACACGAAAGGCAGAAGAACGAGTGACTTGCCCAGAGAGTAAGTGGAGGAACCAGGACTCAACCAAAGTCGCTGACTCCAGAGGCCTCACTCTTAACTGTTTCATGGTCCCGTGAAATGCCAAGTCTCATTCCTTCCCATGTCTTTGTTTGAAGGCCTTTTTTCTTAAGCTCTGCCAAATGATTGGACAGCTGAGGCTAGAATGGTCAGGACAGTTTGAGAGAAGAGTCAACTGCTGCTTCTCCTTTAGAACATTTCCATGGTCATGGTGAATAACTACTAGTTACTGATCACCTACTACGTGCCAGGCACTGTACTAAGCAGTTTACATATTCCTGTGACGTAAGCATTGCTAGTCCCATTTCACAGATAGGAAAACTGTAAATCAGAGAGATCACATGACTTGTCCAAGAGTCAGGATCCTAAAGCCAAAGCTCCTCTGGCAGGCCAAGGAGGGCAGATCACTTGGGGTCAGGAGTTTGAGACCATCCTGGCCACCATGGTGAAACCCCATCTCTACTAAAAAAAAAAAAAAATACAAAAATTAGCCAGGGATAGTGGTGGATGCCTGTAATCCCAGCTCCTCAGGAGGCTGAGGCAGGAGAATTGCTTGAACCCAGGAAGCAGAGGCTGCAGTCAGCCAAGATCGTGCCACTGCACTCCAGACTGGCCAACAGAGTGAGACTCTATCTCGGAAAAAAAAAAAAAAAGCTCAAGTTCACTGAACTCCATTCCACTCCACTGCTTCTCTTTACTGATTCCACAAAACTACTGAGAGGCCAAGAAAACCTGGGCCACCATTCTCCCCATTGGCCCTCAACACCCCTACTCACCAATGGCACCCAGAGCGACGAGTGGGTTCTGCCGAGGGCTGATGTGCTTGTCATAGGGCCGGTTTCCATACATGTGGGCGGCGCTGTTGACCAGCCAGCTGATGTTGAGTGAGATGGTATAGCGGAGAATAGAGGCCAAGAAGTAGGAATTCCACAGACTCTCTCCCCAGATGTACCAGGGCACCAGCGTGGGGACCACAAAGCACATGAGCACCACGGAGATCTTATAGTACCTACAGGGCAAGACACCATATCACCATGAGGACCCGCTGATGGGAGAGAGGATGGGCTGAGCAAGTCACAGGAAAAGTCAGAAAAAAGCCCAGGGAGAGAACTGTGCCAGTCAGCTCCTTCAACGCTTTCTATATGTGGAAGCCTGTTGTGTAGGGGTCACAAGACCCATATACCTGCAAGGGCTAGGCAGGTAACATAAATTTGAGAGTTGGGACAGGTAGAATGCTATAGGAAGTGGTAGGCCCTGTGGCATACCTCAGAATAACTTCAGTATAATCAACACTGTGCTGGCCAACCCATATATCTTAGAGCTACATTTATCCCACAGGCCACCAGTTCAAGATAGCACCTAGAGATTTCTTTCATCAATCAACCTGATATTCAGGTTTTCTCAAATAATTTTGAGAAATAGTTAATGCTTCTTAAATAATTTTAGGTACACAATTCTGTACTAACTCACCTTGGTAAAAAGGTAGACAATCTTCCACCCAAAAACAAGTTCTCTGTCCATCAGAGATTACGTTCCAAACCAGCAAAAAAATAATAAGTATAGAAACAGGCATGGCCACATAGAAAGTAATCATTAAGAAGCAAATCACCCATAGTTTGAGTTCTGGACCTATGTACCCAGCAAACATTTACTGAGTACCTGCTATGTGCCAGACCCTGAGTGTTACTGATGCATGAGCTAAGTGCTGGCAATACAAAGACAAGTTAGGTGAAGCCCCTGACCCAGGCTTCAGCCAAGTGGAGCCACTGCTCACCGCCCTCTTGCCATGCAGGATTGCCTCTATGCAGGGGCAGGAGAAGGGCAGGAACATCAAAGTAACTGAAGCTACCTGTTCATAGTGTGTTCCTCCTTGGCCTCCCGCAGCCTAATCAAGCTTCTGGAAGGCCTCTGTTAAGATGCATATGTATCAACTGGGAGTGCAGGCACAGTGTGAGGGCATGAAATTTGGTAGGTGGAAGACTCTGACTTGAGTCCAAATCTGATTATATATGTTGAACATGCCTCTTTTTTTTTCTTTCTTCTACTGTATGGTTCTTTTTAAAAATTTTTAAGTCCCAGGATTCATGTGCAGGACGTGCAGGCTTGTCACATAGGGAAACGTGTGCCACGATGGTTTGCTGCACCTGTCAACCCATCGCCTATTTATCCTGATGCTTTCCCCTCCCTGCCCCACTGACAGGCCCCAGTGTGTGTTGTTCCCCTTCCTGTGTCCGTGTGTTCTCATTGTTCAGCTCCCACTTATAAGTGAGAACATGCGGTGTTTGGTTTTCTGTTCCTGTGTTAATTTGCTGAGGATAATGGCTTCCAGCTCCATCCATGTCCCTGCAAAGGACATGATCTTGTTCCCTTTTATGGCTGCATAGTATTCCATGGTGTTTAGGACATGCCTCTTTTTATTCTTTTACCCTTCTCCTATGCACAATTAGATGCCCCGCCCCCTGCCCTGCCCCCCCAAAAAAAAGCAGACCACGAGGCAACGGCCGGTGTCTGGGCAGTTTACTCTGGGACGTGAGCTCCATTGACAGGCATGGATGGGCAAATGGGCTCAAGGAAATGGGGAATGGGGGAAGGCCATGACTGCATGCATTAATGGAGTGGCTACTGCTGGGGCAACTGAACTTGGATTTTGATGGGTCACAATATACCTCTGGATTATCTTCTCAGGGAATAAAAGAAGGGATGGTTTTTCCATTGGCTCCAATACCTCCTTGGCATCAAGGGGTGCCACATGGGATATTAGCTCCCCCACACTTCCAGGTCTGCTTGGGTCAGAACAGCCAAGTGGGCTCTGCAGGCATCTCAAGCAGGAAGTAAGAGAAGCCACACAGCTCAGCAAGGCGCTGTTACATCCGTGCCAGCAGGTGGCTGAACAAACAGCTGGGGTGAAAAGCTGGGCTGAGAATATGAGTGTCTTGAGAAGTACCCAACACAGGTAGAAATTGTAGTACTACAGGGTTGTTGTGAGGATCAAATACTAACAGCTAAGGCACACTATGTGCTTACCATATGCCAGGGCAGTTCTGAGACCTTTATATGTATTGACTCATTTAATTCTAACAAACATTCTCTGAAGAAGGGACTATTATCCCCATTTTACAGATAGGGAAATAGAGCAACAGAAAGTTTATGTAGCTGGCCCAAAGTCGCAAGACTCATAGGTGGTGGGACAGAAATTCAAATTCAGGCAGAGTCACTTCAGAAACCACCATGCTATTCTGCCTTGCAACTGAAAAAACATACGTCAATGTGCTTTGCAGACTGCTAGCTGTGCATGTGTCAGCTCCCATCATGGTAAATATTTTTATTGGACACCATATTAACCCATCAGCACCCATTTTCTAGTCACTGGGATACAGGATGGCTGCATTTTAGTGGATAGTGGGTGCCTAGGAAGTCAAATGAGTGGGCTGTGTTTGGAGGGGCAAAGACCAAAGACAACTAAGGGACTCAGGGCCTTAGAGGTGGCCTTCTAGAGTCATGGGCAGAAGGCTCTTAGGGAGTTCTCTCCAGATGATCTGCGAGTAAGGGAAGAAGGCAGCACTGGGTGGAGGGAGAAGGTCACCCACAATGAGTTTCAGTGGATCCGATGGGGCGTTCTGGGCCAGATGATCTTAAGACCTATATGAAATTGAAAGGTATTATCCTTGCATCATCTGGGCATTGGCCTCAGGGAGCCCCTGGGAGGGCAAATGCTTGGGCGAGGCAGCTCTCTGTGGCCAAGGGCAATTTCCAGAAAGGACCACAGCCAAGACGTGGGAGCATCATCTGAAGAGGACGTCTGTGTGGAGCACACAGGCCCTGCACAGGCTGAGGACCTGGGAGCTGGTGGTGAGCATGTGAGGAGGAAAGGACTATGGAGGGAACATGGAAGAGGCACCCAGAGCCTTGGCTCTGCTACTTCTTGTCCGCACCTCTAAGGAGGAAAGCAAACAACTGAACAATGGCAACAGAAGCCATCTTGCAACTCCAGCAGCTTCCTCTCCTTCCTCCGCTCTTTGGATTACAACCCAGGCCTTTCAAGAGAGCCTCTCCCAGTCCTGCTCTGAGCCACTGTCCCCACCCCCATCTTGCTTCTGAAAGAAGAGGGAGAGAAACACGTGTGGAGGGCTTGCTCTCTGCTGGGCCCTGGGCACTTCTCTCTCTGAATGCTTGCAGCAGCTTTGGGGTAGACACCCTCGAGTCATGAAGGCCCCAGGCACAGGGAGGTGCCGTGGCCTCCCAGGGAGAGGCCGAGGCCCGCTCTGGCTCCTGCTCTCTGACCCCTGCTCTCTGACCCCAGTCCTGTGGAATCGGCCTTCTCTGGTCTGACCACAGCCTGCAGCACCCAGCTTCCACTCAGACCCTGCTCCTGCCTCCTCCCTCTGAACTGTTTAAAGAGTCTCCTGCCTGCCTTGGCTCTGGTTCTAGAAGCTCTACCCTGCCAAGTGGGTGGGTCCCTGTGGACGGACAGCACTAGCGATGTGGTTTCCCAGGGGTAAGGAGGAAAAGGCCCGGGCTTCCCCAACTAGAACCACTATGGTCCAGGCACATTGCCTCTTCCTCAAAAAAGACATTCTTAAAAAAAAATCACTGTCCTCATTCCAATGATGCTGCAGAGATCTACTTCTGGGGTTATTCTCTGTATTGTCTTCCCTGTAATCGGCTAGGATTCCTCTTTGTATGTTCAGTAGAATGGATGAAAGAAGGAATTTTTAGGGGGCACAGTAAGTCTGGGTAGGATAGCCAGTGAGATGGGTCTGGATGCTGAACACAGTCTAAAAATCCTCCCTGACTATCTCAAGCCGACTTAGCAAATCTTTCCCAAGTAGGGAGTATCCCTTCCTCCTGTGCACTTTTAGCCTCGAGCAGCTGGTCTCCTTTTAATAACAGTCACTGGCCTTTGTGCTTCAGAAGAAGCACTGAGATGGCTCCCCAGCTTCCTCATCTAATAACACTCAAACATGAATGGTCTGGCCAAGGGGCCACAGAGCAACTCCACGACGCCCTCTTGCACCTACTCCTTCCTCATTTTAGAGATTTCCTTTCGTCATTTGGTGATAGGGAGGAGGGCTGGAGAGGAGTCATTGATGCTGCCCTGTCTTTTTGCTAAATGGGTTTTCTGTTGTTGAAAAGCACCACAGAACATTCAACTACACAACGCCTTCTAGCTGTGTGACCTTGAATGAATTATTTAATCACACTGAGCCTCAGGTTTCTCTTCTGTAAAATGCTGTGCTAATAAATGTATTGGGTGCTTACTACATGCCCTAGAACTGAGACAGAAGGTGAACAAGGCCGGGCGTGGTGGCTCATGCCTATAATTCCAGCTACAGGGAGGCTGAGGCAGGAGAATTGCTTGAACATGGGAGGCAGAGGTTGCAGTGAGCCAAGATCATGCCATTGCACTCCAGCCTAGGCGAAGAAGCAAAACTCCATCTCAAAAAAAAAAAAAAAAAAAAAAAAAAAAGAAGGTGAATAAAACAGATAATCCCTGGCTTTGTGGAGCAGGGGTATACTGGCAGAGATCTATATATCTGGTATATTCTGGCAGGGAAGACAATGAACAATATAAATAAGCAAATTGTAGAGCACATTAGTGGTAAATACCAGGAAGAAAAAAAGCAGAGAAGGAGAATATGATATATTAAGGGCAGGCACTGAAATTTTAAATAGGGTGTCTATGGGAGGGCTTGCTGACACTATGGTTTTTGACTAAAGACTTGGGGAAGTGAGAAGTTAGCCATTTGGCTAACTGGGGGCAGGGGTACCCACAAATAGCAAGGCCCTGAAGCCATGCAGACTGGGGCTGCATGAGACTTGGGGCTGGAGCAGATGAACAAGAGGGAGGGTTGTAGGAGATAAAGTAGGAATAATGGGGGATCAAGTTTGGAGGGTCTCATAGGAGGCTGTCACATGATCCAGGTTAAAGAATATGGTGGCCTGAACCTGGATAGTCATGGAGGTGGTGAGAAATGGTCAGAATCTGGGTATATTTCTAAAGTAGAGTGGCACGACTTGTTAACAGACTCCATGTTAGAGAGAAAGAGTGGAGTCAAGGATGACACCAAGGATTAAGATGCCCTAAGCCGATGTAGGGGAGAATGGAGGAGGAGTGGCATATGAAGAGCTCTGTCTTGGACACGGTAAGAGGGAGATGCCCAATATACATCCAAATGGGGCTGCCAGGTAGAGGATATCAACATATAGGTCTGGAGTTGAGATGTGCCCTAGAGAGAGATGGGGACGGGAGTAGAAGTTTGCAACTCATCAGCATATTTATGATGTTGCTCACATACATTTTTTTTTATGAGTTCCATAATGGCCCTATGATGTAGTTTTTATAACCTCTTTTGCAGGACCTGTGCAGAGGTCCAGAGATGTCTTGGGCCTTCCCCACAGCCACACCGGTTGTATACAGCATGGGCAGGTTTCAAACTCAATTCTTAAACCCTGAATGTCTGATGCCTCTAGTATAACCTGCTGCTCACTCAGCCAACCAAGAACATGGCACACAGAGAGGGAAACTTACCCAGAGATAAACGCGGCTGGAGTGTTGAACATAGACCTGGCCCCATAAGTTGCATATATTTGAGTAAAAATATTGTCCCCTCAGGATTTGAAGTGGATACTGTGTACACTCTAGACAGAATGAGCTTCTTCCTCTTCTTAAACTGAACCACATACTGTCCCGTGTCTATGACACTCTTCCCCAGCCCTGGCTGACTTGCCTCTTCCAAGCATCAGTCTGAACATCACTTCCTCTCAGGGGTTTTCATCAGTCCCCCAGGCGAGGTGCACTGCACAGCATTCCTGTAGCATGTTGTCCTTCTCATCTCTCAGTATTCACACGAGCTGGCTTAACGGGCAGCCTAACCTGCTAGATCAGGGCTCGCAGCCCTGACTGCACATTAGAATAAATTGGGGAACATTTAAAAGTGACTGATGCTGAGCACCCACTGCTGCAGACCAAGTGAATCAGAATCTCTGGTCTGGGCATTTCTATTTTTAAAGCCACCCTGTTGCAAACATTGATGGTAGCTTCCCTTTATTCTTCCTCGTCCCATCCTTTCTTTCTGGCTGGAATGTCTGGATTTTGTTCAGGTATCTAACTGTCCTCCTTGCAGCCATGTCCTTTAGGGTAATGTAGACCCTACCCAGGGCCCTGGTCCTGATTGGTTTAAGGCAATTTTGGTAATATCCTTCACTTTGCAAATAATTAATTTAGGAGTGGGCATGTGACATGATAGAGGCCAATAAGACTGGAGGGGAAGGATGGCCATACCTTTAAAAAAGGGAAGTAAATGTTAGCAAGGATGTAGAAATACTGGACTCCTCAGGTACTGATGGAGGAATGTGAAGTGGCACAGCCACTGCAGGAAATGGTTTGATGGTTTCTCCAAAGGTTAAATATCAAGTTATCATATGACCCAGATTTTCACTCCTAGGTATATATCCAAAAGAATAAAAAGCAGGGACATGAACAGATATCTGTATGCCCATGTTGGTAGCAACATTATTCAGTGGATGAGTAGACAAACAATGCTGTACATATATACAATAGAATGCTAGTCAGCCATGAAGAGGAATAAGATTTTCATATATGCTGCAACATGGATGGGCCTTGAAAACATTAAGATTAGTAAAATAAACCAGACAAAAAGGACAAATACTGTATGCTTATACTTGAGGCACCTACAACAGGAAAATTCATAGCGACAGAAAAGAGAACAGAAATTACCAGGAGCTGGGGGTGAAGAGAAAGTTATTATTTCATGAGAACAGAGTTTTTATTGGGAATGATGACAAAGTTTTCTGTATAGTGGTGATGGTTATACAGTATCATTAGTGTACTTAATGCCACAGAATTGCACTCTTATGAGAGGTTACAATGATTAATATTATCTTTTGTATATTTCACCACAATAAAGAAAGAGAAATACAAGGAAATATCTTCCTCAACAATAGAAAGAGCACAGGGGCAGAAATCATTTCTCTTTCCTGCAGTGACACCCAGTCCGGCAACAGCCATCTGTGACTATGAAAGGAAGAAGCCTGAGAAGCAAAGTTGCCTCTTCAGGCTGACAGAGCAGATGGATGGAGAGCTCCTTGGATAAGCTGTTGAGCCACTGAACTAACCAATCCTGGAGGTGCTTTATCCCTGGTGTCTTACTTTGAGATGCAAGGATGTCCTATTGTTGAAGCCAGTTGAGTCAAGATGTTCTGTAGAGTAGCTAAAAGCATCTTAGCACACCGTAGTGGACATTGTGATGTGCCACCCAGGTCCCCACTTAGGATTAAAGGACTTACTCTCCCAGTAGCTGACAGTGCTGCCTCTGATGGAGAGCTGCCTTGCCTGAGGTCATGCCCCTCCCCTAATGACTGCACATCGGTGACTGACCAGAGAAGCCCGTTGTCCAGGCCTGGTCCCCACTGGGCTGACGAATGTCTCCACTGAGACTGTTCAAAGCCCAGCTTCTCCCCTTTACCCATCTTGCTTCTGCCCCTTCTTCCACATGTATTGATCCCAAGGACCTGCTCCAGTAAACTTTCTACAATGTAATCTCCATCTCAGAGCCAGCTTCTAAGGTAACCAGAACTATGACATGGATACACTGCTGGGCTGGCAGAATTCAGCAGAAAGGCCAACTCTCCAAGGTCTCACAGAGAGAATCCCACATGACAAGCACTCCTAAATATTTGTGGAATGACTAACTGAATGATATTTTGGTTAATAAATGATGAGTCTTGGTTTCCCAGGAAAATAAAAACACTACAGTGATTTCAGTAAGGCAAGGAGTACGATACAATCCCAAGGTTTCCCAAAAACCACAATCATGCAATAACTGTGCAGACTGCTTTTGGGTTCTTCATAAGATGCTTACCTCTTGGACTGGTGCCCATGTAGGATTGTGCACATAAAGCCAAGAACTTAATTAAAGACATTCTTGCTCGTCAGGACCCAATCCCTGGTATCAACAGATTTCACTGTGAGGGTTTCTACCCCCAGTTTAAATGAACAATTTCTGAGCATGAGCTTTTAGGTCATTCCCTGAGCTTCCAATTATTGTAAAATGTTGACAATATTTAAGATTAACAACCACTCTAACAGGTTCGGTCTTGGTTTGGAATGTGAGTGACTTCCTCTCTGCCTATCTATGAACACTCAGACTCTGGGATAGGAGAAGGTGCCTAAACTCATCAAGACAGCAAAAGAGTGGCCAGGCACCGGTGGCTCACACCTGTAATTCCGGCACTTTGGAAGGCCAAGGTGGAAGGATCACTTAAGGTCAGGAGTTCAAGAGCAGCCTGGCCAACATGGTGAAACCCCATCTCTACTAAAAATACAAAAACTAGCCAGGTGTGGAAGTGAATACCTGTAGTCCCAGGTACTAGAGAGGCTGAGGCAGTAGGATCGCTTGAACCCGGGAGGTGGAGATTGCAGTGAGCCGAGATTGTGCCACTGCACTCCAGCCTGGGTGACAGAGTGAGACCGTCTCAAGAAAAAAAAAAAAGGCAAAAGAAAGAGGAAGAACTAGAGGGAAGGGGTGGGATCAACCCAAGAACGACCCAAGAAATAGAGTGGCTCTCCTCCACAGATTTGAGAACACAGACCCAAATATTTGTCAAAAACATAAAGGCAAAAGCAGTCAAACTCACTTTACAGGTTATTTCTAGAGCAGCATTCTATAGCTTGAAGGTGACAACTGACAAGGACAGGTCCACAACAGATGCTGTAAGCCCTTCCACTACCCACCCCTCTCAAATTCTCATCGCACCAATACCACAATTGGGAAGACGTTCCTCAGCATTTAATTCTGGACAAGGAGTCCATTTTTACACAATCAAATGCCATTGCACACAACAGCGCCCCAATCCAAGTAAGCCTTGGTCACAGAACACAAATCCAGATATGGGTACTAACTTTTCAATTACTTCAGCTCCAATAAACTGGATCAATAAAGAGAACTGAAACACTAAGAATAGTCTTGAAACAAAAAATGTATTTTGTGGAGAAGAAAGGATTTGGGATTTCTTTTTATTTCCCCAAATCTGGGTGTGATAAGCATCTTCAAACTCTCATTTTTCTTTGGATGAAAAAGAAATCACCGTTCTCTGTCTGCAAGCGTTTTCCTACTGCTTTGCTAACCCTAAACACAGCAGTCCAGAGCTGGTGGTGTGTGAGATCTTGAGAGTGAAATCTATTAGAGCATGAAGGGGGGGAAATGACCTGCCGACTTCCAAGGGGGCCAGCCTGAGGAAATGTGAAAAGAAGCAAACACCACAACGGGTGAGAAAGAAATTACAGCCCCACAAATGCACTGTAATGATGAGTGATGAGCTGTTCCTGGCATCTTGACTTAACATGTTTGGATTTTTATTTCACTTAAAGCCTGGCCAGAAATTCATTTTCCCTACAATTTTTGCACCTTGCAGGGGACAAGGAAAAATCATGTGGATGCTTAGTAAACACTTATTTAGAGGACAAATGATATGCCCTGACAGTTTGCAAATGCATGGAACATTCTCTCCCCCTTCCTTTGTCTCCTCTGGCATTGCCCACAGGGAATTGAAATATGTGATGCACTTGGATGCACATCTGAAAATGGAGGCCCATTTTGGGGTAGCTCTGTGGAGTGTCGCCGAAAATCTTCCAAACTTTTTGAATTGTTTAAGTTGAAAATGGGTTTTCTCTCTCCTGTGTGCAGTGTCTTTAAGTGAAAGCACTTAGGATTGCTTTGTTTGAAGTATTCTCTGAAAGTTGTAATCGAACTACTCTAGAGCTGGCTTTGACCCTGAATTAGTCTTGACATCTCCTCCCCTGTGCTACTCCATGATAAGCGTTCTGTAGAAGAAAACCTTTCACTTGGATCATCCAGATGCATGGCCTGCATCTTCTGGATGCATCTCCTCCCCTGTGGAGGAAGCAGAGGGCAGACCACTGCTTCACAAAAGCATCTTCTTCAGAACCTTGAAATGCAGCAGAGAAAAGATATTTTTCTCTGGCTTTGGCTTTTTTCCCCCTTTTGAGACGGAGTCTCGCTCTGTCACCCAGGCTGGAGTGCAGTGGTGTGATCTCGGGTCACTGCAACCTCCGCTTCCTGGGTTCAAGTGATTCTCCTGCCTCAGCCTCCCCATTAGCTGGGATTACAGGCATGCACCACCATGCCCAGTTAATTTTTTTGTATTTTTAGTAGAGACAGAGTTTCAACATGTTGGCCAGGCTGGTCTCGAACTCCTGGCCTCTAGTGATCCACCCATCTTGGCTTCCCAAAGTGCTAAGATTACAGGTGTGAGCCACCACACTCAGCCATCTCTACTTTTTTTGGTAGCAAAAATTGTAAAGGAATGACAGTGACACTAGATAGTAGTGCATGTATACATGTGTGTATGTGCCTGTGTGTTCACGTATGTGTGCAAGTGTGTTCCCCTGATTGTTTTAGCCTACATATATGTAGATCTTGTGCTGAAAGGACAACAGACAGAGTACAATCCTCCACCCCATTCAAGGGAGCAAGTTTAACTCCAAAACTCTTTAACAACTCAATAATAAGCTACACACCAGCAGCCAATCAGCCTCCATTTGGGAAAAGAGCCAATGGAGTTATTTTAGCCACCGTCATGATCAATATCAGCTGAGGTAGCTGAATGGATTAGATGGGCTGACGATTTTTCTTGTTGAGGGTAAAAATGAACAGGCTGATATAACACAGCTTCTTCATTTCTCCTGTAAAAGATATGACCCTTGTGCACAACAATGTGCTCTAAAGGTTACGTGGGTCCCTTCCTGTATTCAAGCTGCATTGTCCTCCTCAAGCTCTCTAGTCTTCAGAAATCAGCTCAAGATTGATTTGCTCCAGACAGCCTACCCTGATAGATCTCCTCTCAACTATGATTATTGCATTATTTGATGTCCCTTCAGTATAACCGTGCTGTAAAAACTCCGGAAGATAATCATTTTAAGTAGCTGAGTTTTCTTCCTAGTTGAAGATATACATGTTCAATTACCCGGACTTTTAAAAAAATTGTTTATGTTGGGAATGATAGTAAGAGGAGTAGAAAATAAATACATAAATTGTATATGGAAATCATTACTCATTTTTTTTGCCCTCTTAATCACAGTTTATGAAACAAACTTGACCTTCCTTGATAGTGAGGAATGTCTTAACCTGGGTTCCCCAGATGGCAGGACTCGAGGCAAAAGCTTATGTGCTATTATTTTATAAACAAAGCTCAAGTCCACGAAAAGAGAGTGTGGGAGGCAGGGGAGGTGAGGCAGCTAACAGGACAGTGTGTTACTGCACTGGCCACTATTTGCTATCTCAGTCGGGCTGGACCATCTTCCAAGAGGCCATCTGAGCCACTGAACCTCAGGACATTCCCTCTGGGAGATGTTTGGGGGAAGAATGTCTCACCAGCTCCCACCTTTCATCCCAGCCCCTCCACCACATGCAAACTTCTGGATTGCAAACCTGGAGGCTGAGAGGTGTCTCAGGCTCCAGCATCAACAGAGAAGTCCCAAGGCAGGAGGCCCACACACGCAGGTGTGAAGAGGGTGTGTTGGGATGAACCTACCAAAGCCAGTTGGAGTGCACAGAGAGGTGCTCAGAGCAAATGGCCAAATGCCCTAGGACAGAGGAAGTCCAGAGAGAGTGTGCAGTGGTGCCTAAGAGGTATCTCATGGCATGAGCATGATCTCGAGAAACAACAGTGGATGCTCTGTGTTGGTTTCCAAGAGGGTCGATTGAGGTAGGAGTCTCGGTCTTGTCTGAGTCATTATATATGAGTCAGTTACTGTAAGAACTGGGTCCTTATATTTACTTATTAAATTTTGCTGGCCCATCCCTTAATTTCAGGTCTACCCTGAGCAGCTGTCATTTCTGTTTGTCAGTGTTGCCACCAGCAGTTGCTTCTTTGCTCCTTCTAACTTGTTTCTCTTTATCTGTGAAGGGTTTGAAAACCAGACAACTAAGACTATTCAATTTGTGTGTAAATCAAGAACACATGGGCTCTCGGTGAGACCTGAAGGAGTCGGTCGTGCCGAGACTAAGAGTACAAAATTATGAGGATCATGACATTGATTCGAAGATCTCTTTCTATGGAGGTACAGGATGGAACATGTGCTTTGGCGTTTCGAGGATTCCATGCAAAAATGTATATCATTCTGGCATATAGTGTCTAATAATGGTTCTCTTTGTTTATTTACAGGTCCTTGGTTTATTCCAGTTAAATGAAATTACTAGATAGCTGAGTAGTGAGACACTACTACATTTAGTTTTCACTCCACTATGTGTATTTGAACTTAATGACATTGTTATACTGCTTGTGATTTACTTGAAGATTCTCCAGCATAAATAGGGTGAGAGGGGTGTGTGTGTGTGTGTGTGTGTGTGTGTGTGTGTGTGTGTGAGATTCTTCACCTTAGAGGCAGTTCATTAACATATGAAGTACTGTAATAAAAAAATCCACATTTCAGGTATGCTTAGTGAGCACCTGACAAGCTAATCAGTTCACGTACCAGAGGTCTGTGACAAGGCTTCAACTATTTTTATCTCCAATCACCCCTAAAGAATTTGTAATTATAATAAGGGAAATGAATTTTCACTGGTAAAATAAAGGTGTTCAAAATATTTGGATTGGCTAAAAATACTGTATGGGTACCTCCCAGCAGCAAACATTTTTCAGAGGGGCATTACCTAGGGCCTTGCTCCATCCTGTGTGCCACCACTGACAGGATTCTGTGGCTGGATTCTGAATAGAAGGTGAGCTGTGTGTGCCCTTAGGAGACTACCTTTATCATGTCTTCCATGCAAGGGGCTGTCAGGGTGTCCAAAGGGCAGAGGTAGGTCTTCATCAAGTCTCAGACTGCTACTTGCAGTAGAATTTGTTCTGACAACATGGGATTCTGGTGTAGGGAAGACCCATGCCTTCCTCCTCTTACACTGGAGTTGGCCAAGGTTATTGACAGCAGACATGGCCAAATGGGTCTCCTGTTGAAACATCCACATCTTTGTAGGTAGTTCTCTCCCTGTATCTTTGAGGGTCACCGGGCCTTTGAAGGCAGCATGAATACTGGAGATTACTGTTCGTCTGGCGTGATTGTGCATGAATGGACAGTGTGCTCACAGAGCTTCCCTGCCTCATCCCGGGAGACAGAACTCCAGGCTGGTGAAACACACTTTGAGGGGATGAAACTCCACGAGTGGTGATGTCCACGTGCTGCTTCCTTCAGCATTATGCACACTTCATCCCTGCTAAAGCTGTAGGTCTCAGCCGTAGGTTGTCTAGTGCTCTCTATAAACTAGGTAGTAGACACACTCCTTAGTCCTCAATTATTTTTTGATGGGAGTGGGAGGGGTTGTTAGGTAGTTCAACTGGCTCAGTAAATAGAAAGATGAATAGGACATAGTCCTCATGAAGCTTATAGTCTAATGAGAGAGCTCTATGAGCAGATTATTTTAATATAAAATGATAAGCATAACGGTGAGTTATGCCCATGATATCACAGACCTGCTAAGGAGGGCACTTCATTCACCCCAGGAAAATGGATCCAAAGCTCTTTGGTCTCAGGACCCTTTTACATTAAAAAAATATTTTTGAGGTCACGCACAGTGGCTCATGCCTGTAATCCCAGCACTTTGGGAGGCCAAAGGCCAGTGGATTACCTGAGCCCAGGAGTTCAAGACCAGCTTGGGCAACATGGCAAAACCGCGTCTCTACAAAAAATACAAAAATTAGCCAGGCATTGTGGTACACACCTGTGGGCCCAGCTATTCTGGAGGCTGAGGCAGGAGATCACCCGAGCCTGGGGAGGTTGAGGCTACAGTGAGCCATGAGTGTGCCACTGCACTCCAGCCTGGGTGACAGAGTGAGAACTTGTGTCAAAAAAAAAAAATTATTGAGAATGCCAAAGACCTTTTGTTCATGGGGTTAGAGCTATTGCTATTTACTGTATGGGAAATTAAAACTGGGAAATGTTTTATTAATTGATTAAATATCAAATGTTAATATATGTTAATTATATATAAGATTACATATAAAATATATGCATATTTGTTAATATAAAATTAATATTAAATATATCAATTCATTAAAATAATAAACCTATTACATGGTAAATAAATTACATATTTTTAGGAAAAATAACTGTATTTTTCAATGCAACAAAAATATTTAGTGTGAAGAATGACACTGTGTGGTATCTTTGCAGATCTTCTGGATGTCTGGCTTTATGAAAGGCAGCTGGATTCACCTATCTGATGCTGCAGGCAGTCTGTTGCAATATGTTGTTTTGGTTGAAGTCTATGAAGAAAGTCTGTCTCACACAGATGGTAGTTGGACAAGAGGGCCTTACAGACCCTCTGAAAGGGTCTTGGGGACCCACTGACCAAGACTCTTTGGACTATATTTTGAGAACTACTGACCTTAGCTTCTTAAAGGTGAGTTTTGAAGAATGAATAAGAGTTGGCTAGGTATAAGAAAGAAAGAAATAATGGCATCCACAGCAACCTGGATGGAATTGGAGACTGTTACTCTAAGTGAAGTAACCAGGAATGGAAAACCAAACGTCGTATGTTCTCACTCATGTGGATGCTAAGCTATGAGGACACAAAGGCATAAGAGTGATACACTGGACTTTGGGGACTTGGGGGAAAGGGTGGGGGGTGGTGAGGGATAAAAGATTACACATTAAGTACAGTGTACACTGCTTGGGTGATGGGTGCACCAAAATCTCAGAAATCACCACTGAAGAACTTATCCATGTCACCAAACACCACCTGTTCCCCAAAAACCGATTGAAATAAAAAATTAAAAAATTGGCCAGGTGTGGTGGCTCACGCCTGTAATTCCAGCACTCTGGGAGGCTGAGGTGGGCAGATCACCTGAGGTCCGGAGTTTGAGACCAGCCTGGCCAACATGGTGAAACCCCGTCTCTACAAAAAATACAAAATCAGCCAGGTGTGGTGGCACAAGCCTGTAGTCCTAGCTACTTGGGAGGCTGAGGCAGGAGAATCGCTTGAACCTAGGAGGCGGAGGTTGCAGTGAGCTGAGATTGTGCCATTGCACTTCAGCCTGGGTGACAAGAGCTAAAACAAAACAAAACATAATTAAAATGTAAGAAAAAATTGGCTAGGTAAAAAACAATAAGAACATTCTAAGTCAGTGCTTCTCAAAACCATTACTGTGCATTTGAATCACCTGGGGTCTGGAGTGGGGCATGAGATTCCACCTTTCTAACAAGCTCCTGGGTAACACTGATGCTGCTGGTCCTGGAACTACACTTCGAGGAGTGAGGATCTAAGCCAAAGAAACATGAGCAAAAGCACAGTGTCACGAAATAGCCTGAAGTGTGCGGGGAATGGCATTAGTAGGAAGCGAGGTATAAAACAGAAGTACCAAGAGATAGGGTAACTGTGGCCATGGCATTGAAATAACAGTTGCAATTTTTCCCAAGAGGAAGTTGTTAAAAGGTTTTATGCAGGAGACAGCTCTGACTCATAATTAAGCAAGCACAGTTTCTTATTCTGAATAACTCAGAAATGAAGTAAAATATAAAATATACCAGCAAAGTAAGCAGGCAATAGGGTGAAGTGGAGGAAGAAGAAAGACATTATTCCCTATAAGTACTATGACAGTGTAACTCAGTAGAAAGAGTATGCACTTTGGACCAAGACAGAGTTGGGTTCAGATTCCAATTCTACCACTTACAAAATATTACTAAGTCAACTTCTCAGAGCCTCAGATTCTACCATGCATAGAGATAAGGAAGAGGAATTTCATATGCACATAAAAGTGTCTGGTGCACAGTAGGTCCTCGATACACTAAAATCAACATGATAAAGAATGTTATAGAAATTATAAAAAATAACAACTAGAAGCTGTTACTATTATTCTAAGACTAGATGTAGACTTATACTGGGCTTATTAGAACTTTAAATTTTCAAGAGTAAAAAGATTCTGAAAGAGTACCTGAGGGGGATCACTTCAAAGTAAATGTTTTGCCTAAATGTATATGCAAGGCATTAGATGCTGGTGACAATTAGAAGAGAAAGACTTCAGTTGGGTGTGGTGGCTCACACCTGTAGTCCCGACACTTTGGGCGGCTGAGGTGGGCAGATCCCTTGAGCTCAGGAGTTCAAGACCAGCCTGGACACATGGCAAAACCCTGTCTCTACTAAAAATACAAAAATTAGCTTGGGTATGGTGGTACGTGCCTGTAGTCCTGGCTACTTGGGGGGACTGAGACAGGAGGATCGCCTGAGCCTGGGAGGTGGAGGCTCCAGTGATCCCTGCTCATGCCACTGCACTCCAGCCTCGGCAACAAAGTGAAACCCTGTTTCCAGAAAAAGAGAAAGACCTCAGACCCCTCAAGTTAATTATCCCTTCTTCTAATACAACTGTAACCAAACTTTCAATATGAAGTTTGAATGGTTTAAATCTTGGTCCCCCACACCCTCTTCTCTTTTCCTGGTAGTTGGTGCAGTTAATAAACAGCAAAGGCGCAAAGGGCACAAAGAAAAAGAAATGCATTATCATATTAAATAGAGCTACCACAGTTGTAGACTCTCTCCCTGCCCGAGCTCCCACATTAGAAGGTGTTTCCTAATCTCTATTCCTCTTTTTCTCTGGAAACACTTGACCTTCAGGATCCAGAAATCCCCTCACTACCACCTGGGATTCTAAGACTCTTAACATCACATTTTCCCCCTAAAATGTTGGTTATTACAGTCACATATGAAATGTAGCTCTCTCAGTCCTTTATAGCAAATATTGGCCCTCTGCTTGTAAGAGAAAGTTTTCATTATCACAAAAATCCATGTTCTTAGTGGGGCAGAACTAGTTGGGCAGAATTTGAAAGTCAATGATAGATAGATAGATAGATAGATAGATAGATATAGATAGATAGATAGATATAGATAGATAGGCTTTCAAATTATGCCCAGCTAAGAACCATATATGTATATAGTTTCTCCAAATCTCTTGATAGTTAGGACATCTGAGTAATTGTTTTTCTCTTCTTTAAAATGGAAGACTGATAAGAGTAGGTTTATAAAAGAAAGTCAAATGGCAGAAGAGTCCTCACACTTCAGTTGAGTCAATGAGTATTTTTTTTTTTTTTAATCAAACGGAGTCCTGCTCTGTCACCCAGGCTGGAGTGCAATGGCACAATCTGGGCTCACCGCAGCTTCTGTCTCCCAGGTTCAAGCAATTCTCCTGCCTCAGCCTCCCAAGTAGCTGGGATTACAGGTGTCTGCCACCACCCTGGCTAATTATTGTATTTTTTGTAGAGACGGGGTTTCACCATGTTGGTCAGGCTAGTCTTGAACTCCTGACCTCAGGTAATCCACCCACCTCGGCCTCCCAAAGTGAATGAGCATGTTTCAACAAATCACATTATCTCAGCACTAGGATCTTTTTATCTGTGTGACAGATTTATTATTGTTTTATAGGAAAACAGGCAGTGTGAAGAGAAGTAAGTGACTTGGACAGGGAGCCTGTCCAAAGCCAATTTCTGACAAGAATTTTCTTCAGCTGGTAGGTTGACAATGATTTCTTTGGTCTCTATTTCACTGGGAATTCATCCCTTTTACTCTTTGTAATTTTCATATTTTAGACTAAGAATTTGACTCTTAGACTACCCTTTGCAGTTAGATATCTTTCCCCAGGAAGGGAGCTAGCCTATGCTTTACTTTAAATAAAACATTTTTTTTTGAAGGCGTGAAAGCATTTCTTTAAGCAAAGCAAAAAGGGGAGAATGTGAACTTCTAATTTCCAAGGTGGGATTACATCAAATATCTAGACATTGGCTCTCCATCAGGACCCCTTGCCTCTGGCCAGCATGCCCGTGGGCAACAACATAGATAAAGTCCTCTCCAGGTAGGTGGCTCCCAGTGGCACTCTGCAACTTGTCTGGTCAATGTGATACTTCCCGCTGTTAGCCTAGGATACCTAGGAGGGAAGGCTGGATGTCTGGGCATCCACTCACAGTCCCTCTCACTGTCTGTGATAAAAATTCAGCCATTCCTGTTGATAATAATGACAAAAATTGTAGAATATCTAGAAATAAACCAAAAAAGAAACATGTAAGACCTACACATAGAGAATTTTTAACATTTACTGAGATATATAAAAGAAGTCTTAACTGAGAATAAACTCTGTTCCTGAAGAATGAGAGCCGTCAAGAGAAGGCCCTCACCATGCCAGTCAGAAAGAACCATCACTTCATGTAGACTTCTTCAAGGACCTCATCTTAACATTCCCTCTGAAATTGTGAATCCCCTTTGGTTCTTAATATCCTCATCTACTACAGTGTCACTTTCGTATACAAATTTGGGAGTCCCTGACTATTTCATAAGCATGTGCCTTTTCTTCCCAATTAAATTACAAGATATATAAAGGCAAGGACTCTCTTTTTTTCCCTTTGTATCTTCCATACCCCTCATTATGGAAATACCTCTACTTATAAATTTTCCATTTAAGGAAGTTCACAGGTATGAACAAAGCAAGGTGGAAAAAGGCTTTAACCTTTTTACCTATCACCAGCAGATGGTATTAGTGGCCACAAGCAAGCATTTGGCCACACTCTGTTCATTAGTCAGGGGTGTGTTAGCTAGGTTTGTGCTAAAGTTCTGAGATATTTTATGAACAGCAGTAACATCACCAGTTGCAAAAGTATAAAAGTAGTGAGTGTCTTTAAGTCGCTGCTAAAAAGATGCACATAATTAGGATGAAAACAAAAGTAAAAATAGTTTTTCAAACTGGAAGTCATGAGAGAATGCCAAGTGTTGCAGGGGGCTCATGGCACAGCAGGAAGAATTCTTAAGGCTAAGGAGTGAATAGTGATCAAAGAGGAAGGAACAGGGATTGGCAAAATGAAAAAGGAAACTTTTTGAGACTGGAGCTAAATGTTAGCAACAATTAACTTTCACATGTATTAACTAATTTAGTCACTCAATAATTTTGTAAGATAGATATCATCATTACCCTCTGGGCCTACATTTTGCTAATGTTGGTGAAGGCCAGGAGTTTATAAGGGAACTTAAGCCTAAGCACAGTGAAACAGCTGTTGCTGACATGTCTGCTGTAAGCCAAGGGTGGCTCCTTGAGTTCCAAGTTGCTGGGTTCAGAGACCACCCAAATCAGCAGAACATCAGCTGGTCAGTGGGTGGCAAATGAAAACACTGTAGACATCAAAGGTCCACAATAGGGGAAAATGTTTAATAGAATGTAGGGAAAAGACAAGTACTCCTGGTTTTAAAGCTTTGATAAGACTACTTATATATTTTATTATTATTATTATTATACTTTAAGTTCTGGGATACATTGCAGAATGTACAGATTTGTTACATAGGTATACACGTGCTATGGTGGTTTGCTGCACCCATCAACCCATCACCTACATTAGGTATTTCTCCTAATGCTATCCCTCCCTTAGCATCCCCCCACAACCCCCCAACAGGCCAGGGTGTGTGATGTTCCCTTCCCTGTGTCCATGTGGTTTCATTGCTCAACTTCCACTTAAGAGGGAGAACATGCAGTGCTTGGTTTTCTGTTCCTGCGTTAGTTTGCTGAGAATGATGGTTTCCAGATTCATCCATGTCCCTGCAAAGGATGTGAACTCATCTTTTTTTATGGCTGCATAGTATTCCATGGTATATATGTGCCACATTTTCTTTATCCAGCCTATAAATGGGCATTTGGGTTGGTTCCAAGTCTTTGCTATTGTGAATAGTGCTGCAATAAACATACATGTGCATGTGTCTTTATAGTAGAATGATTTATAATCCTTTGGGCATATACCCTGTAATGGGATTGCTGGGCCAAATGGTATTTCTGGCTCTAGATCCTTGAGGAATCACCACACTGTCTTCCACAATGGTTGAACTAATTTATACTCCCACCAACAGTGTAAAAGTGTCCCTATTTCTCCACACCCTGTCCATCATCTGTTGTTTTCTGACTTTTTAATGATCGCCATTGTAACTGGTATGAGATGGTATCTTATTGTGGTTTTGATTTGCATTTCTCTAATGACCAGTGATAATGAGCTTTTTTTCATATGTTTGTTGCCCTCATAAATGTCTTCTTTTGAGAAATGTCTGTTCATATCCTTTGCCCACTTTTTGATAGGGTTGTTTTTTTCTTGTAAATTTGTTTAAGTTCTTTGTAGATTCTGGATATTAGCCCTTGGTCAGATGAATAGATTGCAAAAATTTTCTCCCATTCTGTAGGTTTCCTGTTCACTCTGATGATAGTTTCTTTTGCTGTGCAGAAGCTCTCTAGTTTAATTAGATCCCATTTGTCAATTTTGGCTTTCATTGCCGTTGCTTTTGGTGTTTTAGTCATGAAGTCTTTGCTCATGACTATGTCCTGAATGGTATTGCTTAGGTTTTTCTTCTAGGGTTTTTATGGTTTTAGGTCTTACATTTAAGTTTTTAATCCATCTTGAGTTAATTTTTATACAAGGTGTAAGGAAAGGGTCCAGTTTCAGTTTTCTGCATTTGGTTAGCCAGTTTTCAGAACATCATTTATTAAATAGGGAATCCTTTTCCCATTGCTTGTTTTTGTCAGGTTCATCAAAGATCAGATGGTTGTAGATGTGTGGCATTATTTCTGAGGCTTCTGTTCTGTTTCATTGGTCTGTGTATCTGTTTTGGTACCAGTACCATGCTGTTTCAGTTACTGTAGCCTGGTAATATAGTTTGAAGTCAGGCAGCGTGATGCCTCCAGCTTTGCTCTTTTTGCTTAGGATTGTCTTGGTTATACAGGCTCTTTTTTGGTTCCATATGAAATTTAAAGTAGTTTTTTCTAAGTCTGTGAAGAAAGTCAATGGTAGCTTGATGGGGATAGCACTGAATCTATAAATTACTTTGGGCAGTATGGCCATTTTCACAATATTGATTCTTTCTATCCATGAACATGGAATGTTTTTCCATTTGTTTGTATCCTCTCTTATTTCCTTGAACAGTGGTTTGTAGTTCTCCTTGAAGAGGTCCTTCACATCCCTTGTGAGTTGTATTCCTAGGTATTTCATTCTCTTTGTAGCAATTGCAAATGGGAATTCACTCATGATTTGGCTGTTTGTCTACTATTGGTGTACAGGAATGCTTGTGATTTTTGCACATTGATTTTGTATCCTGAAACATCGCTGAAGTTGCTTATCAGCTTAAGGAGATTTTGGGCTAAGATGATGGGGTTTTCTAAATATACAATCATGTCATCTGCAAACAGAGACAATTTGACTTCCTCTCTTCCTATTTGAATACCCTTTATTTCTTTCTCTTGTCTGACTGCCCTGGCCAGAACTTCCAATACTACATTGAATAGGAGTGGTGAGAGAGGGCATCCTTGTCTTGTGCTGGTTTCAAAGGGAATGCTTCCAACTTTTGCCCATTCAGTATGATATTGGCTGTGGGTTTGTCATAAATAGCTGTTATTATTTTGAAATACATTCCATCAATACCTAGTTTATTGAGAGTTTTTAGCATGAAGGGGTGTTGAATTTTATTGAAGGCCTTTTCTGCATCTATTGAGATAATTATGTGGTTTTTGTCATTGGTTCTGTTTATGTGATGGATTACGTTTATTGATATGTGTATGTTGAACGAGCCTTGCATCCCAGGGATGAAGCTGACTTGATTGTGGTGGATAAGCTTTTTTTTTTTTTTTTTTTAGATGGAGTCTTGCTGTGTCACCAGGCTGGAGTGCAGTGGTGCCATCTCAGCTCACTGCAACCTCTGCCTCCCAGGTTCAAGTGATTCCCCTGTCTCAGCCTCCTGAGTAGCTGGGACTACAAGTGTGTGCTACCACACCTGGCTTTTTTTTTTTTTTTTTTTTTTTTTTGTATTTTAGTGGAGATGGGGTTTCACCATGTTGGCCAGGATGGTCTTGATCTCCTGATGTGCTGCTGGATTTGGTTTGCCAGTATTTTACTGAGGATTTTTGCATCAATGTTCATCAGGGATATTGGCCTGATATTTTCTTTTTTTTGTTGTGTCTCTGCCAGGTTTTGGTATCAGGAGCTGCTGGTCTCATCAAATGAGTTAGGGAGGAGTCCCTCTTTTTCTATTGTTTGGAATAGTTTCAGAAGGAATGGTACCAGCTCCTCTTTTTACCTCTGGTAGAATTTGGCTGTGAATCCCTCTGGTCCTTGGCTTTTTTTGGTTGGTAGGCTATTAATTACTGCCTCAATTTCAGAACTTGTTATTGGTCTATTGAGGGATTCGACTTCTTCCCGGTGTAGTCCTGGAAGAGTGGATGTGTTCAGGAATTTATCCATTTCTTCTAGATTTTCTAGTTTATTTGTGTAGAGGTGTTTATAGTATTCTCTGATGGTAGTTTGTATTTCTGTGGGATCAGTGGTGATATCCCCTTTATCATTTTTTATTGTGTCTATCTGATTCTTCTCCCTTTTCTTCTTTATTAGTCTGGCTAGCAGTCTATTTTGTTAATCTTTTCAAAAAAACAGCTTCTGGATTCATTGATTTTTTGAAGGGTTTTTCGTGTCTCTATCTCCTTCAGTTCTGCTCTGATCTTAGTTATTTCTTATCTTCTGCTAGCTTTTGAATTTGTTTGCTCTTGCTTCTCTAGTTCTTTTAATTGTGATATTAGGATGTCAATTTTAGATCTTTCCTGCTTTCTCCTGTGGACATTTAGTGCTATAGATTTCCCTCTAAACACTGGTTTAGCTGTGTCCCAGGGCTTCTGGTACATTGTGTCTTTGTTCTCATTGGTTTCAAAGAACTTAGTTATTTCTGCCTTAATTTCGTTATTTACCCAGTGGTCATTCAGGAGCAGGTTGTTCAGTTTCCAGGTGGTTGTGCGGTTTTGAGTGAATTTTTTAATCCTGAGTTCTACTTTGATTGCACTGTGGTCTGAAAGACTGTTATGATTTCCATTCTTTTGCATTTGCTGAGGAGTGTTTTACTTCCAATTATATGGCCAATTTTAGAATAAGTGTGATGTGGTGTTGAGAAGAATGTATATTCTGTTGATTTTCACACATAACAATATTCATCTTAAATGTAAATGGGCTAAATGCCCCAATTAAAAGACACAGACTGGCAAATTAGATAGAGTCAAAACCCATCGGTGTGCTGTATTCAGGAGACCCACCTCACGTGCAAAGACACATATAGGCTCAAAATAAAGGGATACAGGAATATTTATCAAGCAAAAAAAAAAAAAAAAATAGCAGGGGTTGCAATCCTAGTCTCTAATAAAACAGACTTTAAACCAACAAAGATCAAAAAAGACAAAGAAGGGCATTATATAATGGTAATGGGATCAATGCAGCAAGAAGAGCTAACTATCCTAAATATGTATGCACCTAATACAGGAGCACCCAGATTCATAAAGCAAGTTCTTAGAGACCTACAAGGAGACTTAGACTCCCATATAATAATAGTGGGAGACTTTAATACCCCACTGTCAATATTAGACAGATCAACAAGACAGAAAATTAACAAGGATATTCAGGACTTGAACTCAGCTCTGGACCAAGCGGACCTAACAGACATCTATGGAACTCTCCACCCCAAATCAACTGAATATACTTATGTTTTTATTTATAGAAATACATCTGGAAATGATAGCTTAAACTCCTCTTAATCACTTTTGACTTACAAAAATAATCAACGTGTACAGGTTTTTAGAACCTAAAGTTTTTATAAATGGAATATCTCCTATAGAGTGCTGTATGTGTAGTTAATAACACAAATATTTATTGCACATCTCCTCCATACTTTCACATATATTAACTAATGTATTCTCCCAATAATTTTGTAAGGTAGGTATCATTATTACCCTGCTCTAGATGTGGAAATAGAATCTCAGAGACAGAATGACAAAACTGAAATCTTTTTGATTTTAGGACCATATTTTACCTCCCCGTAGCTGCCTCCTTGTGTCAACTGATTGAATCAATAAATAACCTAATGTTAGCACAGACTGCAGCTCTGTCTATGCTTCACACCGTTAAAAAAGGCCTGGGTGTGGAGTCCCCGTCTGTTATTCTATACGTTATCACCAAGCCTCGCTGTTGTATATCTCTCTTCTGACCTTCAGAATACCTCCAGGGACACAGAAAGAGCACGCAGCATCAAGCAGCACTTTTCGGAGTGGTTACAATGAGTATGTAACAAAGCTAAAATGTGTAATCCGGGAAGGGTGACTTTCAATATATGCCCTTGATGCCATTCACGAAGCATCTCACACGCTGCCTCTTGATTGAGAGCTCTTCCTTCTTTCTGGATGTGCTGTGTACTGATAAAAAATAAAGAAAATGACTGAGAGTTCCACCCAGGTTTGTTCAGCAAGGGTTTAATTTCTCTAGTGCTCCTGTAGAAATTGTGTCAATAACAAAACCTTGCATCTCTCAATCTAATCATCCCTTGACACACTCAATAGGATATAACATGGTGAGATGGGGACTGAGGAATTAAGAGTAAATTAGATAAAAGGAAAAGCTCCTGGTAGCTCTGACATGACAGCCTGCACATGACTAATCTAAATATTCATTCTGGGTAATGGAACAGCTATCAACAAATTCATTACTTACAACAATATTTCCACTTCAACTGTCAACTGACGAGGGGTCTCATAATACATTGCTGTCAGCAGTTTGCAGCAGTAAGAGAGAAAAGGTACTTACATTTCACAAATATGTATGAATCATGCTCTTGATTTTTAAAAGGGACTCAGCCTTATTTAATATTTTCAGAAAATTGCTGTCACAAGGACATCAACCTCACAAATCATCTTATGGAAAGAACAATTTGGACAGCAAAAATAATGGATGTGTTTCTAGCTAATCACTCCGTGTCTTGCCTTAAGTACATGCATTTATGCCTTCAGATGCCTCTTGTTTAAACAAATTTTTCTCCTATGCCACTCTCTTTCTAGCCCAGCATTAATTAGGTTCTTTAGAAAAAGAGACTTTCAGGTTGTAAACCAGCACTAAGGTGACATTCATGAATTATGGAGTCATATGTCCTAGCGCAGAGAGCTGAAGAGAGTAAACATGAGAAATACGCAACACACCCCATCTGTTAATTCACCTACCTAGACACCAGATTTTGTGACCATTCTACCTTCTTCCTCCACTGAGAGGTGGCAGGGTTCTGGACAGGGACGTGGGGACGTTTCCACTGTGTCAGATTTTTCTCTCCAACAAAAAAGGAGGGAAATGAAGAGACAGTGTCTTTGTCTTTGGCCATGGGTAGTGAACAGAACAGTGTATGTTATTTATTTATTTATGAGACAGGGTCTCCCTGTGTCACTCACTCAGGCTGCAGTGCAGTGGCTCAATCACAGCTCACTGCAGCCTCAAACTCCTGAGCTGAAGCAATCCTCCTGCCTCAGCCTCCTAAGTAGCTGGAACTATAAGCACATGCCATCGTGCTCAGCTAATTTTCTTATTTTTGGTAGAGACAGGATCTATGTTGCCCAGGCTGGTCTCAGACTCCTGGCTTAAAGCAATTCTCTCACCTCAGCCTCCAAAAGTGCTGGGATAACAAGCATGAGCCACCACGCCCAGCTATCTGTTTTAAAAGGCAATGCTACAAATGGCCCAAAACATAAAATTGTAATCAAAGATTTTGAAATTAATATGAAAATAGGTATAAAAAGCCAAGAGTTCTATGTATTATTTGACTTGGCAATTCTGATTTTAGCTAAAGGAAAGTATCATAGCTGTGGTCAAAGATTTATATACCAAGTTGATCATCATACCATTATTATAATGGTTAAAAAAAAAAAAGATGGGGCCGGGTATGGTGGCTCATGCCTGTAATCCCAGCACTTTGGGAGGCTGAGGTAGGTGGATCACCTGAGGTCAGAAGTTTGAGACCAGCCTGGCCAACATGGTGAAACCCTGTCTCTCCTAAAAATACAAAAATTAGCTGGGCATGGTGATGGGTGCCTGTAATCCCAGCTACTTGGGAGGCTGAGGCAGGAGAATCTCTTGAACCTGGGAGACGGAGATTGCAGTGAGCCGAGACCACGCCATTGCACTCCAGCCTGGGCAACGAGCAAACTCCGTCTCAAAAAAAAAAAAAAAAAAACACACATGGTAGAAATCCTTCAGTGTTCATGAAAAATAATTATGATACATCGTCACAATGAAATATTAAGCAACCATTAAACTAGAAAGATTTTACAGTATTCTGTTAGATGAAAAATGCAGACTATAAAATAGGATGCAGAGTTCTGTGTCTGCTTAGATGTAGAAAGTCACTAGGGAATATTGCTGTCACCTCGACAATGAGAAAAAGCTAACTAATATACACAACCATAACTTTTCTTTAACTCATCAAGAGTTAAGGTCACAAGGCAACTAAGTAATCTGAATTCCAAAGAGTCATAAACCCATCCAAGGAGAGACAGTACACATGAATATGAATGGCTTCACTTTTGTCAAAGCAAGGAGAAAGAGATGGCTACCACACAAGTAGATAAGAAGAAGTCAGCTAAAAATTTAACAAAATTCTTGAAGGTCAATATGGGATAGCCTCAAGCCTCGGACACAAAAGAGTTTGTATTCACACTCAAGCTTTTCTTTAGGGCCCCTAACTGGGTGCTCACAAGGAAGGTTGGGGACAGGGTAGAGTGGAGACCCAGGACCCCCTCTGCCACATAGACATGCAGGAGCTGATCAGCTGCTACTGGCAACAAGAACAAAGCCTTGCCTTCTTCCCCAGGGCCCTCTCTTACAAAGCAAAATCTTAACCCATTTATGCCTGAGGTTGCAAGTTTTTGAATTTTTGCAATCAGACCTTGGTGATGACCTTGAGCAGCAGGATATAAATAACTCCCACATGCTTACCGTTCCAATAATGGAACACTAGGCATAAATGTGTTTAAGCTGCTGGAGGAATACAGACACCTTCTGGCCCTTAGGACTGGGCAAAAGTATATTGCTCTGGGAGAGCAACTGAAGCAAAATTGTTTGTCTCTGGGAGAGGTGTTGGGAAACCCTCACCCCCAGACATAGGCAAAGAAACATTGCTGCTGAGGGAGAGACAGAAGCAAAAATCTTCTGCCCCTTTGAGGAAGAGCAGGAAACCTGCTTGTGCCCAGGATCTTGCACTGCTCAACAGCAGAGGTTGGCTACTGCAGGAATGCTAAGAAACCCTTGACCCCAAGGTTCAGGCACAGGAGCGTTGCCTAAGACTGATACTGGACCAGAACAATGAAGAAACCCTCTACTCTTATAAACAGCCATGCACAGAGACACAAACAACAGAAGTCCACCCTTTGTGTAGGAGCAAGAGCATAGGGAAAGATCTACTTTGTGACACAGGTGTGCAGGGACAGCTAAAAGCCGAGGGTACAGAATGAATACTTAGAAAACTCCTCTGGCACATCAGGCTCTAAGCACGTAGTAAGGGTAGCCATCCAGTGAAGTCTGTGGTGCACTAAGGATAATAATAGCAGCAGTAAAATCTAAACTCAGCTCAACTTCTGATTAATTGACCCAACCCCAACCTCTTCCACCCACACATACTGAAGGTCTGAAAGAAAAAGAGATGTGCCCATGCTCAAGCATAAATAATATTTACCTTGGTCTTTCTGTTCTTACAGAAATAATGTTCAGCATTCAATTAAAATTGAGTCACACAAAAGTGCAAGGGGGGGGGAACAAAAATCATTGTCCAGAGATAAAGTAATTAATAGAACCATTCTCAGAAATGGCCTGGATATTACAACTATCAGGTAGGGACTTTAAAGTAACTGCAATGAACATGTTAAAGGGATCTATGGAAAAGGTGAACATGCATGAACAGATGGGAGATTTTATCAATGTCTAATGCAAATCTGGTAAATAAAAACAAAATCAGAAATGAAGAGTGCCTTTGATGGGTTCATTGGCAGTCTAGACATAACTGAGGAAAGAATTAGTAAACTTGAAGATATGCCAATAGAAATTATCCAAGCCAAAACATAAAGATAAAAAGGAGTGAAGCACATCCAATATCTGTGGGACAACATAAAATGCTTTAAAATAAAATGTAATTAGAGTCCCAGAAGAAGCCATGCATTGTGGCTCATGCCTGTAATCTCAGCACTTTGGGAGGCCAAGGTCAAGGCAGGAGGATCACTTGAGGCCAGGAGTTCAAGACCAGCCTGGGCAGCATAGCAAGACCCCATCTCTCTCTCTCTCTCTCTCTCTCTCTCTCTCTCTCTCTATATATATATATATATATATGTATAATACACACACACACACACACATATATACACACACACATATATATATATATATTTTTTTTTTAATTTAATCAGGCATGGTGGTATGTGCCTGTAGTCCGACTCAGGAGGCTGAGGCAGGAGGATCATTTGAGCCAGAAGTTTGAGGCTACAGTTAGCAGCTATGATCATGTCACTGCACTGAAGCCTGAGTGATGAGACCCTGTCTCAAAAAAAAAAAAAAAAAAAGAGTTCCAAAGAAAAAGAGAAACAGGTTAAAAAAATTAAATATAATGGCTAAGAATTTTCCAAAATTAATGAAAGACAAAAAGTTGCAGATCTAAGAAGCCCAGAGTCCCAAGAATACCTCTCTCCTTAAAAAAAAAATGAATCTAGATACATCACAATCAAACTGCTGAAAACTGAAGATAAAATATATTGAAGTCAGTGACAAAAAAGGAAACATTACGTGCAGAGGGATAATACATATCACACAATGATACAAATCAAAAATTATGTAAGGCATAAGACAAGGTACTGACATCTTTAAAATACCAAGAGAAAAAACCTGACAACTCAGAATTTTATGTCTGGTAAAAATACCTTTAAAAAATGAAGGTAAAATAAAGACCTTCAGACAAACAAAAGCTGAGAATTTATTGCCCATAAACCTGTGTTACAAGAAATATAAAGGAAGTTCTTCAGGCAGAAGGAAGATATCAAGTGGAAATTAGGATACACACATACAAAAATAAAGAAGCTGGAAATGAAATAATAAAGGTAAATATTAAATTATATTTCTTACTTTAATCACTTTTACATAGGATATAGGATATGCATACTTTTTTAAAAAGCTAGCTTGATACATAAAAAACTTTAGAAAAATATACAGCAAAATTTTAACTGATCTTTTTTCTAAGTGGAAGGATTACAAATTATTTCATTTTAATCTTGATGCTGATTTGCATTTAAAAATTTTTCTACAATGAACCTATATTACATTTTATGCTAAAAAGTGTAATTTTATTCTTATATTTTGTTTATATTATACAGATTTCAAGAGCTGCGGGGTTATAGAAATTTTATAAGCTAATTGTTAAAGGAAATAATAACTAAAAATGAATTTTCTGTTATGAAAACTTTCTCTACTTTTTATGTCTTACCATATGGGAAAAAAGAAGAGACACTAAAAAGGCAAGAAGAGCTGTTTTCTCTGATGCATAAACCAATAATAATAGATTGAATTCTTTAGAACATGAATAACGATTGAATAAAAACCTTTTATAAGTACTGTTGATTACTGGGTGACGCCCTGGAGCTACAGCCATACACTTTCCTTGAAAGTCTCTTTATTTTAAGAAAATGTTAGCCGGGCGTGGTGGCGGGCGCCTGTAGTCCCACCTACTCGGGAGGCTGAGGCAGGAGAATGGCGTGAACCCGGGAGGCGGAGCTTGCAGTGAGCCGGATCGCGCCACTGCACTCCAGCCTGGGAGACAGAGCGAGACTCCGTCTCAAAAAAAAAAGAAAGAAAGAAAGAAAGAAAATGTCCAGTGTAGATTAAAAGATTACTCTACATAGCCTAGAAAGAGAACCAGGAATCGATAATATCTAAATATTAGTGAGAATGGTATCTACTTGCATCAAAAGATCTTTGTAAAATTTAACCTTGCTTTAACTTCTACATAAATATTTAAATGTTGCATAAAAACTAGCTAGGTTTTCTCCTTAGCTTTGGTAGTAAAGTAGCATTTTACTAAAGAAAGAATAATTTAGTGCAAACATATACTGTTCTTCTTTTGACTTGGTTAATCAAGGCTATGGGAAGCCAAGATTTAGAATTCAAGTCCAGATTCCAGGTACCACTATCTACATGACAGAGTTATCGAAAGGATAAGAGACAATGTGTGTAAAGACATAATGCAGGTACATAGTAAGCAGTTAATAAATAGCAACTATAGCAATCTAGGGGAAAATAAATACATATTTTAAAAAAATAATAGCTATTATTGGCTACTGAAGTGAATCAAAGATGCATGAGGATGCCTTTATTGCCATCAACAATTAAGTTAATATTTACAAACAGCAGTCCCAGAATCCATTGACACCTGTTGATTAATATGTTTACCATGCTAGTTAGTGAAGTACTCAGGTTCCAGAAATTTGAGCAACTGTCTCCTCATCTTGCCAGGGGAATTTCTTGCACATAGAAATGGGATGGTCAAAGTGGGGAAAGAAAAATGACTGCTAATGCAGTTGGTGTATTTTTATACACACACACACACACACGCACGCACGCACGCATGCAAATTCTCCTAAAGCTCTACTAGGAAAAGTACCTCTTACAGAGGCAAAAAAAATTGACATTTTTGACTTGGAAAATTTTTAAAACTCATAAAAAGCTATTGAATTATGTACCACACTGATTTTTCCCCCACCCAATATTTTAACCACTACATTAGGGAAATTTTGGTGTTGATGCTGTAACCTCAATGTTGAATCATCTCTGTCTTGTATCCCAGAATATAATTCAGCTGTTTGGCTACAACAACCATGTCTCTTTAGAAAGGCCAAAAGTTTAATAAAAGTAGTTAAAGGATATTTTACCTTTTCCATTTACTTTTAACAAAAGGTATCGAATTAAACACAGTTCACACCTCTTTAGTTGATTTTACCAAGTTCTTGAAACTGGAAGATTCAGAATTTTAATTTTTGCCAACTACAGCTGGATGCAGGGAGAATTATTCAAAGGAAAAAAATAATTTATTCTCAATTTTTTTTGTTTAACAGTAGCTGTCATTTTCAGGGACATTCTCAAAATTTTTGCAGAGCCAGGATAAGATGTAGTGGTTTGAGGTGAGGGCAGAGTAACAGAGACTTCAGGGCTCAAGCTGTTAACCAAAGATATACTGCCTCTCAAAAATGGGAGATAAGATTCAAGGAGAGGAAATATTTACATTCACAAGGAATGTTTGAAAAGAATAAATCAAAGCAGGATGATGAAGTGAGGAGAGAATATAAGAGGACAAAATTCCTCACTTCCCCACCAAAAACAACAACAAAAAGAGTCTTGCTGAGCAATAGGTTAAACAGCTTTTGTTCTCTTATAAAACTGTGAGAGAAGAAGAACATCATGGCATTAAGAACACAGTGTGACAGATGAGGCAAAATGTCTCCATGCAGAGAAGGGTACAAAAAAAGGAACAAAGCTGTCTGGCAGGTGAAAAGACAAAGACTATAGGGAGAGAAAGAGGCAAATAGACAAGAGGGAGTGAACCGAGAAACAGATCAGTGGGACGGAGATTGAGTAATGGGAGAGATTGAATGGGGAGGAGCAAAGGTGTCTGTAGAGAGAGGGGCCCAGTCAGGCATTGGGCAGATGTGTGCTGGAGTTTCCTCTTCCCACATTCCCAGACCCAAACTGGGGAGCTCTAGAAAGATAGGGCAAGTACTCTCCAGAATCTTATTTTCTTTTTCACTGTTCAATCTACAGCATCTTGAACATCACCTGACATATAGTGGGTACTCAAAACATAGTTGTCAAATGAATAAGTGATACATGTAGAAAAGAGAAAGAAGCCGACTTCGCTGAGAAAATGCCACATGCCTCATGGCATCTGTTATTAAACTGTGAGCTGGCAGAAAGGATACCAAAGAGCTGAGCTCTGCTTACAGCATGGCCAAGTGATGCTTACCTTAGGGCCAAGTTTGGTTTCCCTGCTGCAGGACCAGTATTTTACCTGAGTAAAATAGGCAATCACCAAACCCAGGGTAATTGAGTAGTAAGGGAGTGGCAGAGCATGGTTGTACTTAAAAGCCCCTGTCTCCATGTCTCTCCCCAAATTCCAAACACATGTTTAGATGCTTGGATGTCTCATCATCCAGGGTCTCTCCTTTGAGATGATTTCTACAGAGTTTTTCACAAAATACAGATAACCAACCAAGGCTTTGAATGTGCTCAACCGCACTAACATCTAGGGAGGAATTGTTCTATTAACTTAGCAACAGGTAGAGGGACCTTCATGGCAAATGGACTGAGAACAAAAAGAGACTCCCCAAAGCCCTACATAAAACCATGATCAAAGAGCAACGGATTCAGTCAAGGGAGATGGAGTCAGGTTGGTTGCAAATCCCCAGATGATACATCCCACTCCATTGAGAATCCCTAAAGTAGAAGATGAAGGTGGGGTAGAGAAGCAAAGATGAGTCAAAAATTGTTTTGTCTAACCACCCTGCCCTGGATAGATATGTGATGCTCAAAATGGAGAAATACACTTAGGGTTTAGACAGGCATGGCTACATAACGTTAAAAAAAAAAAAAGGAAAGTATCAATTTCCAGTTTCCGGTTCCACATGAAGAGCTCAGAAGTTGCCACTCATTCTAACAAGAAGTAAAATGCTGAACAAACTGAAAAAAAGTCAACAACTCTGAGATTAGTAAGAGATGTGAGATTACAGGGAAAACCACTGTTCCCAAAATTGGACAGACAGGCAGATACAGAGAATCACAACATAGGGAGTGGTTCACAGGAACTAGTGGTGTGTTAGGAAAACCTGACCTTAATTGATGAATTGCTGGAGGCTAGGTATGGACAAGTCTGAAGGTTAAAATCTCCAAGGGGGATCTAGTCATAGGGAGTCCCCCATGCTTTTGTGACTTTTCCTTCCAGGAGCTTGACCAGGTTCTCAGAGTAAGTATCAGAAAAAAAAAATAAATTCCCTTGTATTTCCACCAGGAGGAGGGGAAAAGAGCCACTTTGAAATATACCAGAGTATTCTGTTCTTAACAAGACCTACCTTCGGGAGAAACTAGTTAGCCAGAGCCTGACCTGCTGGGGTTTTATTTAGAGCCTAACCAACCTGGGGGAGGGAAAATACTCAACTCCAGCCCATTCTAGCCATCTTGTTCCACCTAAATGAGGAGAGAAGAAACTAAGAAACACTTGTGGAGTCCACAGTCCAGAGGCATAAGTTCACTAACAGACTGAGACCTAATCACAAGGCTCTAGAATGTATCTCCTACCCCCACACACCTCCCACCACACTACTGAAGACCTATATACAGCAGTTCCTTTTACTCAGTACATCATGTCCAGTTATCAAGAAAAAATTATAAGGCATAATAAAAGGCAAAAACCAAAGCAAAACAAAACACAGCTTGAAGAGACACAGCAAGCATCAGAACTAGATATAGCAAGGACCTTGGAATTGTCACACAGGAATTTAAAATAACTATGATTAACGGGCTAAGGGCTGTAACAGACACAGTAGGTAGCATGCAAGAACACACAGGCAATATAAGCAGAGAGATGAAAATCCTAAGACAGAACCACAAAGAAATGATAGAGATAAAAAATGCTGTAACAGAAGTGAAAAATGCCTTTGATAGGCTTATAAGTAGACTGGACATGGTTGAGGAAAGAATCTCTGAGTTTGACGAAATATGAATAGAAACTTCCAAAACTAAAAATCAATGAGAAGAAATGCTCAAATAAAACCACAAAAGGCAGAAAAAGAATAAAAGACAAAAATAGAAAAAAGAAAAATTGCAACAAATAGAAAATAGTAACAAATATGGTAAATATCAATTGGATGGAATAGTAACAAATATGGTAAATATCAATTGATATGGAATATCAATTCCATATCAATTCCATATCAATTGATATGGCAAATATCAATTCCATATCAATTGATATGGCAAATATCAATTCCATATCAATTGATATGGCAAATATCAATTCCATGTCAATTGATATGGCAAATATCAATTCCATATCAATTGACATGGCAAATATCAATTCCATATCAATTGATATGGCAAACATCAATTCCATATCAATTGATATGGCAAATATCAATTGGATGGAAATATCAATTTATTTCCATCAATAAAAACTTTGACCATCAATGGTCTAAATGCATCCATTAAAAGACAGAGACTATCAGAGTGGATCAAAAAACAAGACCCAACTATATGTTGTCTACAAGAAACTGACCCACTTTAAATATAAAGACACTTATAGATTAAAACTAAACGAATGGAGAAAGATATACCATTCTTATAATAATCAAAAGAAGGTAGGAGTACCTATATTAATTTCAGACAGAGCAGACTTCAAAACAAGAAAAGTTATCAGGGATAGAGAGACATTACGTAACGATATAGGGGTTAATTCTCCAAGAAGACATAATGATCCTTAATGTGTATGCACCTAACTACAGAGTGTCAAAATATGTGAAGCAAAAACTGATAAAACTGCAAGGAGTCATAGATGAATCCATAATTATAATTGGAGATGTGAACAGCCCACTATCAGAAACAAACAGATCCAGCAGGTAGAAAATCAGTAAAGACATAGTTAAATTCAACAACACCATCAATCCACAAGATATAATTGACATCTACAGGCTACTTCATCCAGCAATAGCAGAATATGCATTCTTCTCAAGCTCACATAGAACATTCACCAAAATAGAGCACATTCTGAGCCATAAAAAACACCTTAACAAATTTAAAAGAATAGAAATTATACAATGTTTGCTCTCAGACCACAATGGAATTAAATCAGAAATCAATAATAAAAGACAACTGGAGGCCAGGCACAGTGGCTCACACCTGTTATCCCAGCACTTTGGGAGGCCAAGGTGGATGGATCACCTGAAATCAGGAGTTCGAAACCAGCCTAGACAACATGGTGAAACCCTGTCTCTACTAAAAACACAAAAGTGAGCCATGCGTGGTGGTGTGCTCCTGTAATCCCTGCTACTCAGGAAGCTGAGGCAGGAGGAGGATCACTTGAACCCAGGAGGCAGAGGTTGCAGTGGGCTGAGATTGCACCACTGCACTCCAGCCTGGGTAACAGAGCGAGACTCTGTCTCAAACAAACAAACAAAAAAAGACAACTGGAAAACCCCAAAATACATGGAAATCAAACAACATACTTCTAAATAACACATGGGCCAAGAAAAAAATCTCAAGAGACATTTAAGAATATTTTAAACTGAATTAAAATAAGAACAAAACTTATCAAAATTTGTGGGATGCCATAAAAGCAGTGCTTAGAGGAAAATTTACAGCATGACTACATATGTTAGGAAAAAAATATCTAAAATCAATTAACTAAGCTTCCATCTTAGGAAACTAAAAAAAGAAGAGCAAATTAAATCCAAAGTAAGAAGAAGAAAATAAATAATAAAAATTAGAGCAGAGAGAAATGAAATTATGAACAGGAAATCAATTTTAAAAATAAATGAAACCAAAAGCTGGTTCTTTGAATCAATTAATAAAATTGATAAGCCTCTAGCCAGACTAAGAAAAAAGAGGTAGGGCACAAATTACTAATATCATAAGTCAAAGAGGGGACACCCCTACAGATCCCATGGATATTAAAAGGATAATAAAGAAATACTATGAACAACTCTGTGCCCACAAAATTGATAACCTAGATGAAATGGACCAAATCATTGAAAGGCACAATCTACCAAAACAAGAAAAAATAGACAATCTAAATAGGCCTATATTTATTAAGTGTATTGAATCAATAATTAATACCCTTGCAAAATAGAACCAGGCCAAGATGGTTCTATTTTGGTGAATTCGACCATATATTTAATTCTCTATGATAACTGGTATAATTTCTAAAAGAGAGAATTTCTTTTTTAGAAAATAAAAGCAGAGGGAATACTTCTTAATTCATTCTATGAGGTATCACCATAATACTCAAACAAGACAAAGATATTATAAGAAAACAACAAACCAATATTTTTCATGAGCCAGATGCTAAAAATCTTCAACAAAATGTTAGTAAATTAAATCCAACAATGTATAAAAAGAATTATATACTCCAACTAAGTAGGATTTATACTAGGTATGCAAGGCTGGTTCAAAATTTGAAAGTCAATTAATGTAATCTACCACATTACAGGCTAAAGAAGAAAAATCACATGACCATATCAATAGATGCAGGAAAAGCATCTGACAAAATGCAACACCCATTCATGATAAAATCTCTCAGTAAATTCTCAATGATAAAGAATATTTACAAAAAATATACAGCTAATGTCATAAAGGTGAGAGACTATATACTTTTCCTCTAAGATGAGGAAAAAGGCAAGGATGTACCCTCTTATCACTCCCTTTTGACATTATATGGAAGTCCTACCTAATGCAATAAGATAAGGAAGTAAAAGATATATCGATTGGGAAGGAAGAAATAAAATTGTCTTTGTTTGTAGATGATGTGTTGTCTTTGTAGAAGATCTGAAAGAATTGAAAATAAAAAACCATTCCTGTAACTAATAAGCTATTACAACAAGGTTGCCAGATACAAGGTTAATATACAATAGTCAATTTGCTTTCCCACATACCAGCACAAGTGGCATTTGAAATTAAAAACACAATACCATTTACATTAGCACCATAAAAATGAAAGAAGTATAAATCTAACAAAACATGTACAAGATCGGTATGAGGAAGATCATAAAACACTGATGAAAGAAATCAAAGAAGAACTAAATAGATGAAGAGTTATCCCATGCTCATAAATAGGAAGACTCAATATTGTCAATGTCTGCTTTTCTCAACTGGATCTATATTCAATGCAATTCCAATCAAAATCCCAGCAAGTTATTTTGTAGATATTGACAAACTGATTGCAAGGTTTATACGTGGAGGCAAATGACTCAGAATAGCCAACACAATATTGAAGAAGAAGAACAAAGTTGGAAGAGTGCACTACTTGACTTCAGGACTTACTATAAAGCTAAAGTAATCAAGACAGTGTGGTACTGGCACAAGAACAGACTAATTGATCAATGAATCATAACAGAGAGCCTAGAAATAGACCCACATAAATATAGTCAACTGATCTTTGACAAAGGAACAAAGGGAATACAATAGAGAAAAGGTAGTCTTTTTAACAAATTATGCTGGAACAACTGGACATTTGCATGCGAAAAAATGAATTCAGACACAGACTTCACACACCTCACAAAAAGTGACTCAAAATGGATCACAATTCTAAATGTAAAACACAAAACTACAAAACTTCTAGAAGATAACATAGAAAATGTAGATGACTCTGGGTTTGACAATTTATATATGACATCAAAGGGCATGATTCATGAGAGAAAGAATTGATAAGCTGGACATCATTAAAATTTAAAATTTCTACTTTGCAAAAGATACTGTCAAGAGAATAAAAGGACAAGCCACAGACAGGAATAAAATATTTGCAAAAGACATATCTGATAAAGGACTGTTATCCAAAATATATGAAGAACTCTGAAAACTTCACAAGAAGAAAGCAACCTGATTTAAAAATGGACCAAAGATCTTGACAAACATCTTACTAAAGAAAATATATAGATGGAACAATAAGCTTATCTCATCAGGGAAATACAAACTAAAACAACATTGAGATACCACTGCATATTAGTTAGAATGGCCAAAATCCAGAACATAGACAACAACAAATGTTGGCAAGATTTTGGAGCAACAGAAATTCTTATTCGTTGCTGTTGGGAATGCAAAACGATACAGCCACTTTGGAAGACAGTTTGGCTGTTTCTTACAAAACTAAAAATATTGTGATTGTACAATCCCACAACTGTGCTCCTTGGTATTTACCCAAAGGAGTTGAAAACCTATGTCCGCACAAAAACCCGCACATGAATGTTTACTCTAGCTTTATTATTACCAAACTGGGAAGCAACCAAGATGTCCTCCACTGGGTGAATGGATAAATAAACTTCAATAGATCTGGACCACATTTTGGTCATTATTCAGCACGAAAAAGAAATGAGCTATGAAGTCATGAAAAGACATGGAGGAAGCACAAATAGATATTGCTAAGTGAAAGAAGCCAATCTGAGAAGGCTACATACAGTATGATTCTAACTATACGACATTCTGGAAAAAGCAAAACTATAGAGATAGTGGAAAGATCAGTGGTTGTCAGGGCTTGGGGGAAGAGAGCGATGAACAGACAGAGAACAGAGGATTTTTAGGCAGTGAAAATACTCTGTAAGATACTACAATAGTGGATACATTTGTCATTATATATTTGTCCAAACCCATGGACTATACAACACCAACATGAATCCTGATGGAAACTATGGACTTTGGGTGACAGTGACGTGTCAATGTAGGTTCAACAAATGTAACAAATATTCACTCTGGTAAGGAATGCTGATAATGGGAGAGGCTATGCATGTGTGTGGGCAGGAGGTACATGGGGTATCTCTGAACCTTCCTCTCAATTTTGCTAAATTGAACCTAAAACTGCTCTTTAAAATAATGAGCCTTTAAAAACAACAAAAAAGAGGGTATCACTGAGAAATGTGATGCTCATTCTTGGGAGGTGGGAGAGAAGACTAGAGATAACAGACTAGGGGATGAATTGAGGTGAAACAGGCCTCAAAAATATTCTAGATGTTTGAGTGCCTTTCTTCCTGGAATGGCAATATTTATACATTTTGATCTCTTCCCAAGGCACCAGAACAGAACTGATTTGCTCTTTTGAACCATTCCATCCATTTTCTTTCAGTTTATCTCATCACCATGGCAATAAGGCAAGGACCTTGTTTTTATGTGTCTGGACTAGCATCCTCCCTGTCTACTTTAAAAATGCATGACAGCATTTACATGTAACCTCTAGAGGAATGTCTTCCCTAAAATGGGACTCAATGGAATAAGCAAAGCATTAGGAGAAACAGTCTCTGGATTTTATCTTCATTTTGTCATCTGAGAAAGATGATTTGAGATTCCAGTTTCTGTTCATTAATGGAGACAGAGAGGCTACCCACTTGGTTCACAAAAAATAAGACTGAGGAATATGAGATGACAAATCGCTCTGCTTAAGGCAGAACAACTGTGTGGCTATGGCAGAGACTGCTAATTGTTTACCCCATATCGATTCACCCTTCCTTCCTTAGAAACAAAACCAAGATTTTATTCAAGGGTCCAACGCATTAACCATGAGAATACATTTCCCTGTTTCCCTGGGTACAGATATGGTCAATGAGAGACAAGTGGATAGGTTGTATCTTCTAGGAAGACTCCTTAAAGGCGACCGACTCAACTCAGCAATGTGCTCCCTTCAGCCTCCCTGATTCCCCTTCTGGTTGGAGATTTAGTGATCAGTTTGCACCATGAAATGACACTGAGAATGAAAGTCCCCTGCTGAGGATGGTAGAGCAGAACGATAAAGGAATCCCAGTTCTCTACTGACCCTGCAGTGCTGCCATGTCCTCCCTGGACTGCCTGTCTCCAGAATTCTTTTATATATAAGAGAAATAACCTTCTGTCTTGTTTAAGCCAAACACAATTCTTGATGGATCCACGCTCAACCTTATGAATGGCTCACGGATAGGTTCACCCCAACATTTGCAGGTTTCAAGCTAGGAGTATAGGTGGAAGTCCCTAGCCTGTGGTTCACCCCTTTTCCTTTTCCCCTTTTGCTCTGTCCCATTAGGTGGATATCTGACCTCACACTTTAAAACTTAAGTCCCTGTGCTAACACTGCCCCTTGGCCACTCTTCAGGCCTAGGCTCTATGTATTTCCTGTTGGGAGAACAGATCCCAGGAGGAGACTGCTATAGGCTCTAGAAGAGAGCTCAGAGCATTTAGGGAGGAATCTAGGACCCTAGGAATCCAGGGCCTGGCCCAGAAGTCAAGGAAGATTTAGGCAGGTGCCATGTTCCTTTGGCCCTGTGATCTCCTCACTTTGTGGAGAGAAGTGTGGCCCTTTAAGTCATAAGACCTAGGACAGGGGCCCTAGTTGCCAGAGCCTAAAGGCAATACCACTGGCTTCTCTCCCTTGCACCTCCTAATGGCTGCCTTTACACAATTTACACATTGACAGTGCAGCAAAATGTGGTTTAGTCCAGTTAACTACTTGTTATGACAGCCTTCGTAAGATTATCTTTTAGGGTCTGGAAGTATAGCTTGAAATGTGTTGCTTTCCTGCTCCTACCTTCTCTCTTCCATGAGACTGTAAAATGGAAAGCTGATTAAGCCTCTCTGCCAAGCTTTTCTTTAGTAAGTTGTTATTAGAATGGCTCAGCAAAAGTTTATCAATCAACTGCAATATCTGTGTTAGTGTCCTGAGTGGACTGAAGGAGGAGTCTCTAAATCCTCAGTCTCTATCACCTGTTTGAGTAAACTCTCCAAGAGGCACTTAGCTGATTGATCTGCACAAACATTGCACCCTGGGAGTGTGGTGGAGTCAGCTGTGAATTCTGATTGCCTCCAACTGGAATAGGGACTGTTCCTCTAGGAAAGTCATACAAGAGCAGGTGGAGATTCAGCCCATGAGAAGTGTGCCACTGAAATGACCCAAGTCTGGGCCCCAAATGCAGCTGGGCACCTTCTTCTGTTACTCAGGAAGCTCTCCATGCAGCCCAGGGTAGCATGAACTGAGATCTGCTGTGACGGTGCCTGACACCAAGATCCACCCCTTCAGCTCCTATCCCCACATATAATGACTTTGATTCCTGTGAGGACTCTCCTCTCCACCGTCTAACTGGCAGGACCGGTAAAGCCAGCTTCACGAACATGAAAATATCTGAACAGTTGACTGCCTCTGTGTATGTTGGAAACTTGCTTCATTTAGTTCAGTGATTCTAAGCCTTATTTTGGATTACGGATCTCTATGTTCTCTATGCTGTATAATTACCACAGGACTTCAGTGCTCACCCACACATCTGAAGACAGCTGTAGCCTCTTTCAAACAGTAAAGTATAATCACAAGAACATTGAGTGAATAATCTAAGATGCATGTACTTCTGGCTTCCTCTATCTACGTTTTACTAGTTTGCTCATAGGATGTATTACACAAACACACACTCACATATTAGGATGTTCTGGCATCTTAAAAGCCTTTCTGCTTGGGGAGAGCCTGGCTTTCCTGGGCCTAGGCAATTCTTAGAGATAATAAAGGGCCCAGCCAGGAGCATGCCTTTAACATGCAAACTACATGATCCAGAGCCATCTCTCTCCTGTTTGGCCTGTACTCTCAAAGAGCAGTATTCCTCTACCTTAATCATTCTGGGGCTAGACCAGGCAACTAGGGGTGACCTCTATAGTTTAGAACGTGTTCTAAACTATAGTTCTGAGAGGAGGTCAATTTTAAGCTGTATCCTCAGCACTGATTCCCAGCAGGAGCTCAATGATACATGTGACATGATGATATGAATGAATGGTTTCTGATAGCCACAGCCTCCTTTAGTTACTGGACTGGTGATGAAAGATGTTCTCAGATGACTATTCAGGGAACTTGCTGAAATAGTCTTTGTTCTTCTTCCTGCATTTAGAAATAGTCTTTAGACATACGTGCCGCCAATACACACATAATGAATCAGACTACAACATTTTTTTATGAGAAAAGATGAAAAAAAATCTTCCATTTTTATGGTCAGAGAAACCCAGACTATTATACCCGGCTCATTTCTCATTAATAAAACAGAAAATCTTTTGCCTTCTCATCTGAACTCTTCAAATTAATCTAAGGTCTGATTGTCCCAAAGTATTATTAATTATATAGCAACATCATTTGTATCACAGAATTGGAAATGACATACATAGCTGACCACAGAATGATGGTTAAATAAACTATGACATGCTCAACTGATGGAATCTTCTGCAGCCTTTGACAATGGTGTCTACAATACAATCTGAGGTAAAGGGTGAGACATAAAATTACATATGCGATACGACTGCCATCATGCAAAATATATGAAATAGAAAGAGATACTACTGAATATTAATAGTGTCTGTTTATCTGTTAAGACTGTGAATGATTTTCTTTCTACTTCTCTGAATTTTTCATCTTTTTCTCTAATGACCTTCAACATTTTACACTCATAGTGAAAATCAACGTCAATAAATCATTGAATTATTAATTGAAAATATCTTGTTGGCTGGGCGCAGTGGCTCATGCCTGTAATCCCAGCACTTTGGGAGGCCGAGGAGGATCACTTGAGGTCAGGAGTTCAAGACCAGCCTGGCCAATATGGTGAAACCCTGTCTCTACTAAAAAATACAAAAATTAGCCGGGCGTGGTGGTGCATGCCTGTAGTCCCAGCTACTCGGGAGCCTGCAGCAGGAGAATCGCTTGAACTCAGGAGGCAGAGGTTGCAGTGAGCCGAGATCACGCCACTGCACTGCAGCCTGGGCGACAGAGTGAGACTCCATCTCCAAAAAAAAAAAAAAAGAAAGAAAAGAAAGAAAGAAAGAAAGAAAGAAAGAAAGAAAGAAAGAAGGAAGGAAAGAAAGAAAGAAGGAAGGAAAGAAAGAAAGAAAACATCTTGTTATTTTCTGCTATAAAACTTGATACTGGGTATTTTCACCTAAAAGAGCTGAATTGATACCGGGTGTTTTCACCTAAAAGAGCTGTATTGAGATGTACAGAGAAAACCCTACAGTGAAACCAACAGAAAGCAGTGATGGAAACAGAGAATTCTCTAGTCTATCAACTGCCTGTGTAATAATAATAATGGCTGACATTCACGAAGCTCTTACTATGTGCCAGGCATTTTCCATGCATTTTAAAAATATCTTCATAAAAGCTGTAGGAGATAGGTATTACTGTTACTCCCATTTTATAGATGAAGCTGAGACTTAGAGTGGTTGATTCATTTGCTAGTAAGTGGAGGAGTCAGAGACTTTGATTCCAGCAGTCTGTCTCCAGGGTCTGCCAGTTTCTCACTATGCTCTACTGCTCCCCTCAGCGTAAAAGGAGAGGCTTTGGGGGGAAAGAGCACAGTCCTAAGCCATCCTTCCTTTCATGCAAAGATTCTTGTGTTGAACAAAGGCATAGCCTCCATGTCCATTTTCAGTCTGAAAAGGAGATTCTGTTTAGGTAAGTCCTCAGATGACTCCTACCCATCAGTGGAGATGGTCACTAGTAACCACTTATTCAACATGCTGTCTCAAGGCTCTAACTGGAGCATGGTCCATATGTTGCCCATCTTTGCACATAAATCTATTGCTTTAGGTGCTACAAGCTCATCACAGCCAAATTTTGCAGACCCAGACCAACCCAAGAACAAAGGTCGCTCTCTACTTGCCAGCACAATTGTAGGCACTCTTTCTTCATGTGCTTATAGAAAGCAGTTTCATCCTGCAAATGCTGGCCGACTGGGTATGCTCAGCCGACACCATCAGGGCATATGAGTGCTTTGAGGCCTTCTGTTGAATGGTCTCATTTTCTCTGCACAGAAACCTACTAGTGTAACGTTTCCATGAGTGATGGGCAGGGCAGAGGTTTCACTACAAGAGAATTTCAGGACACAGTAGGATACCTGGAGAGAGTTCAGTCCTTTTGGAGTCAAGTAGAGTCAAGTGTGTCACTAAAATGAAGCCAGCCCCCCTTCTGCTACTCCAGAGAATCATGAATGGGGCAGTGGGGAAACACAGAAACAGATTCCATGAAATCAGCCATGCAAGATTAGTTTGAAGATAATGACACTGGGCTTAAAGGAAATCCATTACAAATGAAACTTATAACTCAAAACAAATGTGCCAATGGGCAAAATTTAATGAGCAAAAGGAAATTAATAAATAGAGATAAATCTTATAAATATGGCAAAATTGTTAGGGCAAATGCTTGAGAAGAACGCTATGGGGTTATGAGTCCACCTCATTGTGCTGTTTCTATGTCCTGGCCCCTGAGGGACAGCTCTCCGTCATGCCCATTCACTTACTTTCTCTGGATCCGGACCACAGGATCAGCAAGCAGGTCAGTGACGTCAAGCTTTCTCCCCTTCTCAATAACATCTCGATGCTTGCGAACAAACAGCCACCCAATATGGGAGAAGAAGAAGCCCCGGCGGGCATTGTGGGGGTCAGCATCCGTCTCTGAGTACTTGTGGTGGGCTCGGTGGTCCCTGGACCACTCGAAGATGTCATTCTGCAGAGAGAATGAGAGCCTGAGTGAAGAGAGGAACCGCACCGCCGAGCATCCTCCTGGGAAGCTTCCCAGCCTCCCCTCCCCCACCAGTCCTCACTGCTGGTTTCACTTTCCTCCTGTCTTCAACCCACAGTCCCTCAACCTCAAGTTCAATCCCCTGTGGTCTGGAGTGGTTTTCATCAGAACAAGAGTAAATCTTCACTTAGCAGGGATCTCAGCTTACGTGTGGGACGTACCCACTGCAGGAAGTTCAGGCTTGTTGGGTGAATTAGTGCAGAGACCTGAAGGAAAGCTCTGGTGGGGGCGACTGAAGTCTCCTAGATCATTTATGTCAAGAAAAAAGAGATCTTTTTTGTGGCTGCACCGTATTCCATGGTGTAAACATACCACATTTTCTTTATCCAGTCTATCACTGATGGACACTTAGGATGATTCCATGTTGCTATTGTGAATAGTGCTGCAGTGAACATACATGTGCCTGTGTTTTTATAATAGAATGATTTATATTCCTTCAGGCATATACCCAGTAATGGCATTGTTGGGTTGAATGGTTGTTCTGTCCAGATCTTTGCAGGGACATGGATGGAGCTGGGGGTCATTATCCTTAGCAAACTAATGCAGGAACAGTAATCCGAATACCACTGTCCTCACAAGTGGGAGCTAAATGATGAGAACACATGGACACATAGGGGAACAAAACATCCTGGGGCTATCAAGGGTGGAGGGTGGGAGGAGGGAGAAGATCAGGAAAAATATCCAATGGGTACTAGGTGTAATACCTGGGTGATGAAATAATCTGTACACACACCCCCATGACACGTTTACCTACGTAACTAACCTGCACATGTACCTCTGAACTTAAAAGTTAAAAAAAATGAGGGAGAGATGTTCTTAGGATGAAATCTTGGTTGTCATAAGAGAGGGGCAGTCCTGAGTAGGAATGGTGCCGGTTCTTGGCCCAGATGTCTCTGCCTCTCTCCTCACTTTGGTGTTCTTCATGTGTGACTCACAGAGATCAGGAAGCCAGTAGTTTAAAAAAACCCAAATGGCTACTTCCCCAAATCTCTGCAAAATACCAAGGCACCAGTGGCATCATTTTAGGACTGCTCTAACAGAGTGTAACAGAAACAGAAGGGGGACAACTTTGGCTCCTTGGGAACCTGGTGTATTGGCAATCCACCAAGTGGAGAGGCAGCAGTGGCTGAGGAACAGGGCAGCACTCACTGGAGCCCTGAGACAGACTCTGGTGCCCCTAGAAGGACAGGCAGCAGAGTCCAGCAGAGTCTGCCCAGCCCACAGAGCTGAAGTAGGGCTCAGTGCATGTGGGGAGCACACCCTATTGGACTTCTCATAATGGGAGACACGGGAGGGTGTCAGGGGCTGAGCTATCAGGGGCCAAGAATTGATGGCATTCACTGTTACAATTAATGAGACCTTAGCTATAGCAATGAGTCAGTGAGATCTACAGACGTTTTTTTACACTAATTTTTTTTTAAATCTGATGATGCTTTCAAAACTTTGAGAAGATGAATTAAATTGGGAAGCAGTGCTTTTGATAGGAAAATCTGAAAATAAAAATAAATTTAAGTATTATATTACATTAGCCTTTTCTGATTATGACAATAGTAATAATATTTTATACCATAATATTCAATACTGGGTAATGTTCTCATTAGGAGTCTACCATTTCATAGAGATTGGCTTCATCCTTCTGATGAGAAGGGAAGAAATTGTTTTGTTTTTGTTTGTTTTTTGAGACAGTCTTGCTCTATTGCCCAGGCTAGAGTACAGTGGTGCAATCACATAGCTCTCTGTAGCCTTGACCGTCTGGGCTCAAGTGATCCTCCCACCTCAGTCTCCCAAGTAGCTGGGACTACAGGTGTATGCCACCATGCCCAGCTAATTTTTTGTTTTTCTTTTTGAGACGGACTCTTGCTCTGTCGCCCAGGCTGGAGTACAGTGGTGTGATCTTCGGTCCCTGAAACCTCCGCCTCCTGGGTTCATGCAATTCTCCTGTCTCAGCCTCCCGAATAGGTGGGATTATAAATGTGCGCCAACAAATCCAGCTAATTTTTCTATTTTTAGTGGAGATGGGATTTCACCACGTTGGCCAGGCTGGTCGAAAATTTTAAAAATCCACCTAATCCTTGGGTTTTGGGGGAGAGAAAAAGGAGGCAGAAAGTTCCGACAAGCATATGTTCAGCTTTGAATATAAAGAGAGAAAACAGGAGCATGGCGGTTTATGTATATCAAAAATTATAGCCTGGCTTACTGTAATATGAAAGAGGTCTTTAGATTTTACAGTGTATTTAAACATGGTGGTTGGACAGAGTGAAAACATTTTATTATTTAGAATCACAGAATTTGGAGGTGTAAAATAATTTCAAATGTCAATCAAGACTGCTGTGGTCTAAGAAATAATTTCTTCCTTTTGCATTAGTTTATTGCTTTTATTGTAGTGCCCATGTGAACACGACATAGAAAGAACACTCTGTCCCCCATTCACAGATGGCAAAATTAAAGCTTAGAGGACATTTATATAAGTTCATCCAACAAATCAAAACATAATAGAACTAAGATGGCATTTCCTTGGTTCTCAGTTCACATTTCCATCAACAAAATATTTCCCTTACTCTCCAAATGTTGCAGGGAGGGATCTTTTATGGAAAACTTTCTTTCATCTTGTTAAAAGGTTATATTGGCTTGATATGGTTTGGCACTGTGTCCCCACCCAAATCTCATCTGTAACTGTAATCCCCATGTGTTGAGGGAAGGACCTGGTGGGAGGTGATTGGATCATAGGGTCAGTTTCCTCCATGCTGTTCTCATGATATTGAGTGAGTTCTCACGAGATCTGATGGTTTAAAAGTGTGTGGCAGTTTCCCCTTTGCTCTCTCTCTTGCTCTACCATAGTAAGACATAGCTTGCTTCTCCTTCACCTTCCACCGTGATTGGAAGTTTCCTGAGCCCTCCCCAGCCACGCAGAACTGTGAGTCAATTAAACCTCTTTTCTTTATAGATTACCCAGTCTCAGGTAGTTATTTATGGCAATGTGATAATGAACTAATACATGGCTGTTTAATTCAATGTCATGCAATCTTGTAGAAACTCTAAGTGAAGAGTTTCAAATAGCTAGAAACATTATTCTCACAAAATTAATTATAATACAACAACAATGAAAAGACCCATCATGATGAAGAAAAGTTCAAACAGAGATATTTATTTTCATTCCTTTCACCTGGATACCTTTCCAACAGAAGCTACCTGACTGCAATAGTGGAATGAAGCAAGTATAACAGTGGAATGAAGCACATTCCAAATAATCAAGCACATAATGAAGCCAAAAATACTTTAAGATGTATTTTTTAATCCTTTGTTATTGTTTTGTTTTCAAGTGTAAAGCTGAGTCCAGTGAAAAATGACTCAAAGAATAAGATGTGTTTTGTAGTTCTTGGGAACTTGGTAATAAATAAATTAAAAAAAGAAATTAAAGAACAAGATGTGCATCAACAATAGAGCAGAAAGGGAGCAAGATTTATATGTTCACCCAATCAATCACCTTTCTTCCCTACTTACCTGCACTTTTGTCTGCTCTGGAGTGATTGGGAGTGGGTGGGTAGGGGAAAGAACCTACCTGTGAATAGCATTTGTGTTGAAAAGGTTTGGGTACCTAGAGCTCATTTTGGTACAGTCAGTATGTGCTTTAGCAACAAGAAGAGGGGAAAGCTGAGGATTAATGAGGAGGGAGAGATGGCCCAACCATCTCAACCTTGGGAGGCGGGGAGTGAATGGAGATCAACTGTACTGGAAGCCATACCCCCAGCGGTATCCTGATAATCTCTCTTCCTCTTAGTGTTTGCATGGTGCTGATAGCTCTTGTCTAAAACTATGTGTGCCACTCCATCACCTTTGCTGCACGGGAAACAAAAACAATATTAAGGCATACAGAGATGACAAATGCCCATCATGAACTGACTGTCAAGTATGGGTAATCTGTCTGTTCATGTTCCATGTACATATTCTGGTAGGGACATGATGTTGAACTCAGCAGTAATTCCTGAAGCTTAGATACTTAAACATTCAAACAAATCAATTACCAAATTATTGTATTAAATTTGCAACTTAGAGTTTATACTGAATTGTAGGTTCCAGTAGATCACAGTCTTACTCTGCAATCCATTAAAAGTGCACTCTCACCACATGTTAATTGATTATTCCTGATAAAAAATTGGAATACTGAAGGGAGCTACATTAGTTCTAAGAACGCTGGGCATAAATGAGGCACAGGTAGGTGGGCGAGCGAGAGAGGAGTAGGAACAGAACAAATCCGGAGTGTAGAGCTCAGGTGGTAGGCTTCATTAGCAGAGACGCCATACTATAGTCCTACTTTGCAATAGAAATATAACTCAAGCCACATAATATAACTAATATTTTCTTAGTAGCCACATCTAAAAAGTGAAATGACCCTTGATTGAACTTGGGCTACAGAAAAAATTAATAAAATAAAAGGTGAAAAGAGGCTGGGCACGGTGGCTCATGCCTGTAATCCCAGCACTTTGAGAGGCCGAGGTGGGCGAACCACCTGAGGACGGGAGTTCGAGACCAGCCTGGCCAACATAGTGAAACCCCATCTCGACTAAAAATACAAAAATTAGCCGGGCATGGTGGTACGCGGCTGTAATACCAGCTACTCGGGAGACTGAGGCATGAGAATCACCTGAACCTGGAAGGCAGACATTGCAGTGAGCGAGATCACACCACTGCACTCCAGCCTGGGTGACAGAGCAAGACTCTGTCTCAAAAAACAAAACAAACAAAAAAAAAAACTAAAAACAAAAAAAGTGAAAAGAAACAAGTAAAATTAATTTTAATAATATATTTTACTTAGTGTAACATACCCAAATATTATCATTTCAATGTATAATCAGTATAAAAATTATTGAGATGCTGTACATTATTTTTTTTCCGTACCAAGTCTTAGAGATTTTTCACTTGTAGCACACCTCCAGGGGCTTGCCGCATTTCAAGTGCTCAGTAGCCACACGTAGCTAGTGACTACCACACTGAGCAGTGCAAGTCTAACTCATGGCTTATGCACTTTTTTTTTTTTTGAGACAGGGTCTCTCTCTGTCACCCAGGCTGGAGTGCAGTGGTGTGATTATGGCTCACTACAGCCTCAACTACCTGGGCTCAAGCGATTCTCCCATCTCAGCCTCCCCAGTAGCTGGGACCACAGGCACATGCCACTATGCCCAGCTAATTTTTTTATTATTTGTAGGGATGGGGTCTCACTATGTTACCCAGGCTGGTCTTAAACTTCTGGGCTCAAGGGATCCTCCTGCTTCAGTCTCCCAAAGTGCTGGCATTACAGGCATGAGCCACTGCACCCAGCCACTTGTACGCTTTTCAATGTGTGCATTATACTTCAAATTTAAAAGTTTGAAGAATTAAGAATTCAATGCTGCCTACTGGTGAGAATGTGAAATGGGCAGAAAGTGTGTGAAGGGCAAATGAGCACTACATATCAAAAACCCTAAAATTGTGCATATATTTTCATCTAACAATTCACTTTCTGGAGTTTATCTTAAGGAAATCATGGTTGTGTTCAGAGATTTAACCACAAGGATGCTAACTGCAATAAAAACTTGGAAAGACCCTGCATTTCCCCATAACAGGATTTGATTAAATATTTTGTGATAAATTAATTAAATAGTACTTGTGTGTGTATACATATACAATAAAAGCTTATATATACATGAAAGAAATAGTAAGAGAAAAAGCCTTAGTGTTACCTCATGGGAATGAAATTGGGAGGTAGGAATGAGGAGAAATACTTTTATGCTTGATCCTATACTCTGAAATTATTAGAAAGAATTCTACTAGTGTTGTATTAAAAACTAATTAACAAAAAAAAGGCTATTGTAGTATTGACCTAGAAAGATGAAGGTAAAAGTAGTTAAAAGAAAAGTACTTCTTCGCCGGGCAGGGTGGCTCACACCTGTAATCCTAGCACTTTGGGAGGCCAAGGCAGGAGGATCACTTGAGATCAGGAGTTTGAGACCAGCCTGGCCAATATGGTGAAACCCTGTCTCTACTAAAGGTACAAAAATTAGCTGGGCATGGTGGTGGGCACCTGTAATCCCAGCTACTCGGGTGGCTGAGGCAGGAGAATCGCTTGAACCTGGGAGGCTTAGGTTGCAGGGAGCTGAGATTGTGTCACTGCACTCCAGCCTGGGCAACAGAGTAAGACCTTGTTACAAGAAAAAAAAAAAAAAAAGAAAGAAAGAAAGAAAAGAAAGAAAGAAAGAAGAAAAGTACTTCTCAAAACACTATGAATCCATTTTTAATAAAAAATATAAGTTTAAGCATGGGAAAAACAAAAGAAGTATCTTAGCCAAACTGTTTGCAGTGGTTCTCTCTAGGAATTGGGACTGTGGGTGACTCTTTTTTATTTTGTCTGTGTTTTGTAAATTTTTATAATAAACAGATTATTCTTTTGTAATACAGGAGAAACAAGTTATTTTTGAAAACATTTCTATATTCCTGAATGAAAACAACCCAGCTTCTCCTCGATGAAGCAGTTAAGATTCATCTGGCAATCCAGTCTGTTAATACACCTTTATGTCATCCTTCTTCTATCTTTATTCTCGTTAGCAACTAATCAACCAATCACACGTCAAGTGGTGTGGCAGTGCCCTCGCTTGAACCCATTCTGTATTTTGTGCCTCCATTACTTCACTATCCATGATTGATAACATACCTAAGTGGGGTCTCCACTGAAACTGTAGAAATTGAAATTGACCATGAGGTGATTTTTCTCCCACGCACAGCCTTTGAGTGTTATCTGGGACTTGAGCAAAGGTCATCAATCTCAAGAGTCCACCGAAAAGAGGTATGAAGCAACCTGCTCCTTCAGAACTACTCCCCAGCTTCCTTTTATGTTCAAAATAAATTCTCGAATCTAGTCATCTAAATGGCAACAGAGGACACTGTCTTTTAAGGCCCACATAATTTCCACTGGTTAGCAAGATGAAGGCTAAATGTAAACAGCATTTAGCTTGTCCCATTCAGCAGATCTGAAACCAGAATCATTGATTGGTTTTCCCCTAGCCTAGCTGGAAACAGTTGCTTGCTCCCAACCAGACACCAAGATGGTTTTGCTATCCCTTAATTCAATTTTGTGGCTGTTTAAAGTTCCAGAACAAAAAACTTCCCAAGCAGTCTCAAAACATAGCCAAAGGGAATTCCACTTGTATTCATAACACATCTTTGTTTCCAGTCAGTAGTGAAAAAGAAACCAGGACCAACATGTCAACATGTCAGCTTGAACAGGCAGGTTTTAGAGTAGAAAATATGCGTGTGCATGCATGCATGTACATGTGCATGTGCGTGTGCGTGCGTGTGGTGTGTGTGTGTGTCTGAATGGCATCCTTTCTGGGAAAGGAGCTGTTCTATCAAGAGGGTCAAATAGAAAAAGATACTGGTGGCTCCACTCCTTAGAAACTGTAAGGCTTACTAGAGATAGACTTTATCTCTGTCTCTGGGGTCTAAACTTAATCTCCTCCAGTTCAGACGCCAATTCAAACAGTGAAAAACAATGTTGGGTGCTTTCCCCATTGTTGATACGGGGTCAGTACTTATTTCTCTCCAGATAATAGGCTAATCTGTAAGAATATCCCAGAAAGTCCCCAAGAGTGGCCTGGCAGCAGTCCACACCACCTGGCAAATTGTGGCTTTGAGAGGACAAGTTGCCACCTGCTGCCTTGCCTTCATGTGGCACTTGGTCTACATAGGTCTTAGAGGCTGGGTAAGTGTTGAAAAGTCAACCTTAGTAGTTTAAAAAGTGCCAATAAAACTTAAAGTTTGAAAAAAAGGAAAGAAATGTTTCATATTTTCTTCTATTACTCTTTTGTTTAAATCTCTTAACAACGAGAATGTATTCAAATAAGACTTTTCACTTTTAAAAAACCACATATTTAACACATACTTTTAAAATGGCATAGACAGTCATCTTGGCAAATAAGTTGGTCTTCTGGAAATCTTTCCAATTTGGGCTTTGGAGGGCTTTTGGTCAGTGATGTGACCATTATTCTAGTCTCCTGAACTAGATCTCCTTTATTCCATGAGTTAAAAATTGAGGGGGAAGAAAGGGCCTAGAAAACAATGATAACCCAATAGCAATGAACATATTTAGTTCCCACAACTTGTTTTTAAAATACCATTCTCCACTAAAAGGAATCAGGAGTGTGGAGAAATGGCTGGTGCCAGGACTGGGGTAGGAAAAGTACACGGGGAGCTCAGTATATTTTGTTGTGCCGGAAAGGAAGTGCTTAAAAAATGATGGGGCATGTCGAAATGACAGAAGAGCCACGTGTGGTGGTGTGCATCTGTAATCCCAGCTACTCAGGAGGCTGAGGATTTCAAGACCAGCCTGGGCAACACAGCAAGACACCACACTAAAAAGAAAGAGTTTTTTCTAAATACTAAAAAAAAAGAGGCATTTGTAGTGCCTCCCACTGAACAAACTGGGGTAATTTGGTCATTAAAATGAATAATGACAGTAATGGATTATAATCCATGTAATCAAAAAACAGTCCATGGGCTATAAATACATTGGAAAAAGCAAACTTTTCTTTACAGTAAAATACCAATTGACAAATGTAGAAGAAATAATAGAGTTACAAAATCACCATTTTGCAGCTGTCATGGCAATAACTGAGTCAGGCAAGAATCCCCAATGTTTGCTAAAACTATTGGGTAAAAGTTTGATGAAGATAAAATATTCATATAGGCTCATAATCTTTGCATAAATTAATTCAATAATTACAAAATAAAAATAGCAATTTTACAGTGGAGAAACTTAGCAGATGCCACCTTAACCAAATGATCAAAGTTCATACCTCTAATAATGTGACAAAGTGATGTCATGTGCCTCTTTTTCAATGCTGAGGAGGACACAAGAATGCTAATGTAGTACTCCCACCAAAAATGCAGAGTTTGAGTCTAATTATGAAGTAACATGAGCAAACCCAAATGGAGGAACATTCTACAACTTAATTGGCCAGTACATTTCAAAAATATTGATGGCATAAAATTAAAAAAACAAGGAACTATTCCAGATGAATGGAATCTAAAGAGACATTATAACTCATTGTAATGCATAATCCTCAATTGGACCCTGAACTATTATAGAATCCTGGATACAACATTAAATCCCTGACTTTGGTAAGTGTATTCTGTCTATGTGAAAGTGTCTTTGTTATTAGGAAATACACACTGAGGTATTTGGGAATAAAGGGGCATGATGTCTATAACTTACTCCCAAATGATTCATAAAAAAAGAACACGTAAGAATGCACATGCATGTACAGAGGAAAGAGCAAGGGAATAAAGCAAATGAGCAGTACTCTAAGAGTTGGTGAATCTAGGTGAAGGCTATACCCAAGCTCATGATTTTCTGCAACTTTTCTCTAAGTTTCAAAATAAAAGATCTGAAAAAATTATTTCAAAATAAAAGTGAAAGCTAAAAACAAAAATTTCATGGGCACTCTTCTTTATAATCTCAGCTTTTCCCCTTCCACTCCATTTCTACTCTACCACCCTTGTTCAGGCTTTTATCAATTTACTTGGATGCTGTAATAACCTTCTAACTGCCTCCCACTTATAGTAATTTTCCTCTCCACAATACATTCGGCATACTGTTAACATCCTCTTTCCATTCATACTCCCCAAAATCTATCATTCTTTTGCTTATTATTTGACAATCTCTGTGTATTACTTTTCTTATAAAATCTAAACTTTTCTTCTTCTTGAAAATCAGACAGGTTTCTTTGACTGGACTCATTCTTATCTTTCCCATATTTTATCCTTTAATTTGACTGATATTTACTGACCGGTACACACTAGAAGATAAAGAACAAACAGGACAATTGAGGCTGTGTCCTCAAAGAGTTTATAGTTTATCGAGGAGACAAATACTAAACATAAAGTAAATGAAGTCAACATAAGCGAAATAATTTTAGACTGGGATTAGAGCTGTGAAGCCAATAAAGGAGCTGAACAAAGGAGGACCTTAATATAGGCAAGACCATTTGTTTTTTTGTTTGTTTGTTTTGTTTTGTTTTGTTTTTGAGATGGAGTCTCACTCTTGTCATCCAAGCTGGAGTGCAGTGGTGCGATCTTGGCTCACTGCAACCTCTGCCTCCCAGGTTCAAGTGATTTTCCTGCCTCAGCCTCCCGAGTAGCTGGGATTACAGGCACTCACCACCACACCCAGCTAATTTTTGTATTTTTAGTAGAGACGGGGTTTCATCATGTTGGCCAGGCTGGTCTCCAACTCCTGACCTCAGGTGATCCACCTGCCTTGGCTTCCCCAAGTGTTGGGATTACAGCTGTGAGCCACTGCGCCTGGCCAGCAAGGCCATTCTTAACTGGGTCATCTTCAGGTTGAGAGGAGTTGGAGGTGGAAGTGTGGGAGGGAGAGGGGAATTGTCTCAGGTAGAGGGAAGGACTTGGAACAATCGAGGAACTAAGAAAAGGCCATTGTGTAGGTAGCATGGTGCTAGGACAAGCCTGGTATGAGATGAGGTCTAAGACACATTATGCTATAATAAAGAATATATCTGGTCTTTGTGCCTGGTTCTTGGCACAGAGGTTTAAAAACCCTTGGAATTTCCTGATAGGAAATTCCACAACTCTTATCCTAGAGGTGACTTTCATGGGCCCCTAGATAGCCTCAGGATGGGAGCAGATCACCAGAAAGACCAGCCATGTGATTAGAGAGGTGGGTGTCAGCTGCCCAACAGGGCAACACAAATGTTCCGGATAGAAGCAGAGACCTAGATGGGCTTCTGATGCCCTTGCACCAGCTGGTTTCCTAAAGGGAAGCTGGGGCCATGGTCTTTGGAGGGGTGGTGCTGTAGATCCCGCAGTGCAGTCACATCCAGAGGACTCAGACTACCGATGGCTTCTCTAGCTAGGTGTGTCTGGTGTTACTGGTGCCTAATATTTTACAGACATTCTTCTGGTTTGGAAGGCATTTTGAGTCACCTCTCTTGTAGCAGAGCATAATCATGTTGTCCATGTTGCTGATGGTGAAACTCTGCCCTGAGATCTACATGGCAAAGGAGCTAAGCATAAAATCCTTGGATCTTCACCACTCCTGGCACTGGAGCAGTTTCCTGGGCTATGTGGAGTGTGTCTTGGCCTTTGCCGGCATGGTAGGTTAGATCAGGACTCGTCCATCGATTGGGGCCTGTTTGTGGAGACTCTGGGCTTCCTGGCCATGCTGACCGACGCCATGATGGACCTGCCCCAGCTCTACTGCAACCACTGCCATGGGTCCTGAGGACATGAGCATCCAGAGCACTCATGAGGACAAGGGCAGTGCCCTCGGGACCACCTACTTCCTGCTGAAAGCTGCCCATGCAGTTCTTGGTCTGCGCCTGCTGCAAGTGCTGGTGGACCTGGCCATCCTGGGGCAGGGGTGCCCTTCACCCACCACCCTGAGAAGCCAGCACCCCACACAACACACCCCACCATGGCCAAAGCACTTCTGAGCTGGCCAGGGAGGAAAAAGATGTGTGACTGCCAGCTGGCGCCTGTTCTCCCTACGTCGGGAGCAGGCATCGCAGCCCCTGAGCGGAGAGGCGGTATCCCGTGTCAGGTTCTCCATCAGCGGCTGCGTGGGGCTCTCAGGGCAGCCAGGCCGACACTTGGCTCACCACTGCTGGGGGGTGCCACAGTGGATTTCACACTCAAGGGCTGGGTCTCCGGTGATTTTAAGGTGATGGAAAAGGCAAGTGTCTTTTCCCACTTCCTCTCAAAAACCACCCAGCCTGAACCTGAGATGTGTTCATAAACACACCAGAAGGCAAACTCCAGTCCGCTGAGGAACAGCAGCCCTCAGGAACCTTCTCCAATCTTATTCAAATCCTGGCCCCAACCTCTCAGGTCTGCCTTGGCCCACAAGCTGGCTTCCCTGAGGGAGAGGCTGAAGCTGGGGATAAGTAGGATCCACGAGCCAGGGGGACCCAGGCAAGCCTTGAGGCTGGGGCTGGGGAAGCGAGGAGGAGACCAGGTATCAGGAGACCCTGCAAGTCCTGGGAGCAGAGACTTTGGACTCAGTGTGACCCTGATCAGACACCCTGGTTGGATGGGGGTGGCCTCTTCTAACCAGTGAGGTAGGCACAGAGGGCAGGGCCGGGTTTGCTCTGCTCCCGATTGTAGGGATGCAGTGGCACCTGTGCTCTGGGTTTTCTGGCCAGAGTTGGCATCTCAAGGGTCTGCAGAATGAGTGCCTCCTGATACTCAGCTCCGGTGCCTTTGACCTTGCCCAGCAGTGGGGTCTGGATGCCTAGCTTCTAGGCTGGCCTCTTCCTGGAAGATGCTGGTGTGACATCTCTCATTGCCTGTCCCTATTTCCCTAATTATCCCTCACCAATGTTTAAGCCAATCCCTTCAGTCCTACCACTAAATTATATCTTGAATCTGCACACTTCTCATTTTTACCACCTTTTCTAGTTCAAGATCAACTTTTTTCTAGGCTACTGCAAAAGCCTCCTGAACTGGTCTTCCTGATTCAATGCTTGCCCCTCTCTATTGTAGCCAGAGAGAGCTTATTGGAAATTACTCTACAGCAAAATAAATAAATAAATAAATAAATCAGTGGCTTAGCACTATATTTGGAATGAAATCCAACCTCATTATTATGTTCTAAAGGGCTCTGTGTTGGAACACCCCTGGGGTGAGAGGCAAGCCCATGTCCGAGCCTGGCTGGGCATTGTCCAGAGCAAGCTCAGGGGTGTTCCAGCCAGAGCCTCTGGTTCTGAGTGCTGGGGTCCCCCAGACGGACACAGAGGTCCTCCTGGGTGCATGGGAAGGCTGAGGGGGCTGAGGGCAGAGGCTGTATAGACACAGCCCTGCCACCTCCCTGAAGAGGACTCCATTTGGGAAGAGTCCTTTTACTCTGGATATTGCACACACTGGCCGGACACAGCTTTGATGCCCATCGTCCAGGATACAGAGGTGGCCTCCAGTCACAAGAGGGAATGCGGAGGGCAGGGTGCGTGGCACCCTATGCAGGGTCTGGCTGCTGGGATGGCCCATCTCACACTCTGCTACTGCTGTCCTGGGCTCTTGGGTCCGAGGCAACCTCCAGAGCATGGGCAGCAGCCTAGCCGCAGGCGCCTCTGCCACCGTCCTCTGTACACTGTCCACCCAGGCATGTTGGGTCCCACAGTTCTGAGTCTGCTGCCTCTGACTGGTGGGAACCACTGGTCACTCCAAATCCCCACTCCCCACCTTTTCAGTTTAACACAAGCCCACACCGTGCTTAGCAGCCCTGTGCTGACTCCAGGCCCTGGAGTTCTCAGATGCTTGCCCACGGTTCCCACAGGCATCATGTTCCCTTCTGCTGGGCGGAGGGGCCACTTCCCATGCAGATGTTGACGCTGTCAGTGCCAAAGCTTTATGACTTTAGCATTATTTGCTGTGGCCAGTGGGAAAATGTTCAAAGCTGTTTCCACCTCCTGAGTTTTCCTCAGGAAAACTCTTGAGTATTTCAGTGAGGATCTTGTTCTTAGACCTTTGGCCTGTAAGAGGCTTTGAAAATTTTATTTTATTTTTTAATGAAAGAAGATATCTGTGGTGGTAATTGCCTCCAAATTAAAATGTCACCAATTGCATGCACAGTGACTGACGAATGTTTGTACCCCCACCATGTGGCAACTTTGAATCAATAACTCTGCAGATCCAGAAAAAAAAAGAAAATCATAAGAAGAGAAAATATATTTACTATTCATTAAGTGGAAGTGGATCATCATAAAGGTCTTCATCCTTGTCTTCTTTGCATTGAGTAGGCTGAGAGGAGGAGGGGCTGATCTTGCTGTCTCAGAGGTGGTGGAGGCAGAAGAAAATCCATGCATTTAAGTGAAGCTGCGCAGTTCAAACCCATTCTGTTCAAGGGTTAACTGTAATCGTAAGTATAGGACTTTCCTGAGTTCTGCATGTTGTTCTAGTGAATTATCAAACCTAAGGAGATTGTGGAAACCCCCAAACTTATCACTGGTCATTCAGAAGTACAGGTAGCCTGGGGACCCCACTACTGTTCTGCAGCCCTTGCAGCAGGCGTCTGAAGTGGGGACAGCCATGTGGAGCACTCAGCCTTTAACTTGTGGGATCTGATGTTAACCCCGGGTGGTTAGTGTCAGAATTACACTGAAGTACACCAACTTGGGGTGGACACAGAGGACTGGTGTGCAAGGCCCTGATCACGCAGGGCCCCATAGAACATAACAGTGAGGTTGGATTTCATTCCAAATACAATGCTAAGCCACTGAAATATTTATTTATTTATTTAGCTGGAGAGTCGTTTAATTTCCAATAAGCTCTCTCTGGCTACAATATAGAGAGGGGCAAGCATTGAATCAGAAGACCAGTTCAGGAGGCTTTTGCAGTAGCCTAGGAAAAAAGTTGATCTTGAACTAAAAGGTGGTAAAAATGAGAAGTGTGCAGATTCAAGATGTAATTTAGTGATAGAACTGAAGGGATTGGCTTAAAAATTGGTGAGGGATAACTAGGGAAATGGAGAAATCATGGATGATACCCAGACTTCTGGTGGGAAAGCTAGGAGAAGAACAGAAGAACAGTTTCGGTGAGAAGGTAGAGTCACAACTTTGATTTGGGGCATGCTGAGTTTGCGAAGCCTAAGTTAGGACATCCAATAAGAGATGTCACATGGGTAACCAGATTTGTAACACACTATACCCTGTCAGCTTACTTCTTCAATCTGGGTGATTTTCTAACTATGCTGTGACCTTATACAGTATGTTCTAATCATTCCTCTCTCCCTACCTTTGCTCAGATGTTTTCCCTACCCTCCTCTTCTTCTTTGCCTAGACAAATCCTCTTCATGTGCAGCTCAAATCTCCCCTTCTGCAGTAGGCTTTGTCCAATGATCCTAGCCCATATTCAAATTTCTGCAGCCCTAAAAGTCAGTGTGACACTTTTGAGCAATTTAACTCCACATTGTCTTTTTATAAGAGTCTTTATTGCACACAAGTCTAGCCAGCTCTATCAGATTGTAAGCTCCTCATCCAAGGGCCACTTCTTAGATATTACTTGTGTTCTTCATAAGCACATAGTGGCTTATGCACTTTTAAATGTAGTGGTAATTAAACAGCAGATTTACATGAAAAGCTATGAAATATTCAAATGGAAGAAGGTAAAAATAATCAAATGCTTCTGCCTTCTGAAAGAGTTTTTAAAAGCAAAGCTAGAAATTTCCATTTGGCATCTGAAACTCAATAAATATTATCATTAATTAAAACTGCTGATTCAATGACTCCTGTAGACATTGTATCTTTGGAGCGTGATAAGGCATTGAGGCAGCATTCCTGAGATAATCCCGTGACGAGAGCGCTGGCTGGCATTAATGGGAATTGGAACAGGATGATTGAAAAGCCTGGACTTTGATAAACAAGGACCAATGATGAAAAACAATTCAATATCTAATAAAGGGGTGGGGAAGAGGCCACTAACAGAAGGCCTCACTGTGTCTGTTAGATCTGTTTCATTTCGTATCTTCATTAATGTCTGGGAACAAGGCTTACACATTTTGTTAATAACATTTCTGATTGGTACTAAATTAGGAGGTGCTGCAGACATCATTGAGGAAAGAGGAATAACACAGATGGATCCAAAGAGGTTAGAAATATGAATAGAAATTATCACAATGAGATTTGATTTCAGAAAAATGCAAATGAAGGCAGCTGGGGGAGAAATCATCCAAAATGCAATATAATCAGTGGGTTGGGAAACCTAGAAAGCAGCAGCATAAGAGTGTCTGGCAGGCTAGCAATGGAATAAAGAATATGCAATGACAATGTGCTGTCTCATCCCACATGGCTGGTGACAGGTACAGGGAGAAATGACTTGTCAAGGAATTGCATTGCAATACAGTCTTCTTCAATGTCCATAAACATTTTTGGAGATGGTTTGGGAAAATAAACAAAATAAGCTCAGACATTTGGGCCTTAGTTTATTCAGCTGTTAGAAAAGAATTAGACTCGTGGCTTCTAAGGTTCCCCAATTCTAACCTCCTGTGATCCCAGCTCTAACCTTCTGTGGTTCTAAGACAAAGAAAGGTTGCGAGAAAATACATGATTAAGGAGGTTCACTGTGTGCAGCACTTCTAAAGATCTTTAGGAAAAGAAGACAGGATGAAACACAAAGCTTGAAAATATGTTTCCAAATAGATTCCCAATTGACAGGACTGCATGCGGAATTCACCTTCAAAACAGTGTCTTTCTTCCAATACAGATGCCGGGCTAAATTAACATAAAATCTGATAGTTATTTGTTTACAAAAATTATCTCTACCAACTATTTCTTCAAATAAAAACTCTTTAAAGTATTGCGGTTTTTTTGGTTTACAAAAATCTAATCGCCTTAAAGTGGTTAGAAATATATCCACTGTACAAAGCAGGTAAGATCTGCATTAAAGAGTTCCCACCGTATCTGGAGATGGTGCTGTGAGAAACAGACTAGCCCTGTTGGTTGGTCTGTTCATCTGTCTAATTACCCTCTTGCTCAGACTGTCACATTTTCATCCCCTTGAGGTTCATTTTCTTAGATGATTTCTCTCATCTCACCTACTTTCACTGACCTAGATCCCCAACAAATAAGCAAGTAAGGCATCTTAGGGGTGGGGAAATTTTATTTTCTACCTTAATAGGTTCATTTTTGTTGGTAGAAAGTATAATTAATCCTGCCAGGTAAGTGCAGAAAGAAAATGCCGTACCCCACGCAGCAGCCTCTGGAGAGTTTCCTGGTTTCCTTTCTCTCTCTCTTTCTTGCTCTCTCGCTCACCTGCTAGGCCACCTCCCACCTGCACCACTTTGTCGGAGTATTCCGCATAACGGAAGGGGTTACAATGCAGCATGCATGGAATGACAATGCTTTAATGAATTGATAAATCACCGTCTTCACTGCTTAGAGACGACCAAGCTATTTGCTCTTTTCTCATGACTTCCAAATGTTCCAAATGTGCCCTGGATGGTGAAATGCTGTGGAAGAAGATAATGTGAGGCATGATGTGCAAATCTCACCTTCCAAAATCACACCAGGAAAAGCTGTCAGGGCATCTGGGTCAGGACCACTTCTGCTGCTGCCTGTTTACATGGAGGAGAAAACCAACAACACCCACCCATCTTGAAAGGAAGAAGGCAAACCTGTTTCTGATGTGCAGAAGAAAAGTTGTGCATCTGAAGCTTAGGCTCATGGCTAGGAAAGGTGGCAACACTGAAACAGGATTTCTGAAGGGAGACTTAGAACCCACAGAGAGCCACATAAGGTTAAGGATTCCTGAGCTGCACTAAAGTTCTGGTGTTTTGTTCTCTTCTACACAACCGCCACTGCATGCTGCTGCTAACAGCATGAGCTGTACTTGAGGGTGCTGCCTCGCACACAAGTCTCCCTCCTTGACATGCACACCCCCCAGAGACCCAGCCTTGGGGGATGGTCTATTATCCTGAAACAGGCACAAACTCTTTGGGGTCTCCTGACTGTGTTCTGAGGCTTACTCAAGCCATGGAAACGCATGAGGCCATGTCACTCCCTGCCTAAGACCTGGCAGTGCCTTCCTGTGATATGTAGAACAATATCTGAACTCTGCCTGACAGAGCCTTGCACTGATGTGGCCCCCATCCCCCACTCTGGCCTTGCACTCACATGGACCAGCCACGCTGGCCATCTTTCTGCTCCTTGGACACAGCATCCTCATTCCTGGTTTTGCTTTGACTCCTCCCTCTGGATGCTCTTCCTCTACCCTCCTCTCCTTCAGGTCTCAGCACTAATGCCACCTCCTCAGCAAGGTCTTCTCTGACCACACTTTGTAAAGATGCCCCATCTTGGGCCTCTATGTGATGTTACTCTGTTTAATTCTTTATATCCTTCTCTCTCTGAATACATTTGTTTGTTCATTTGCTCACATGTTCATTTGCTGTCTCTCCTACTGTAATATACACGTTATGAGGACAGGGACCTTGTCTGTCTTGTTCTCCTGTGCCTAGAACAATGCTTAACACATGTGTTTGCTGAATGAAAGGATAAATGTGCATTTGGACACTGGGAGAGGCACTAGAGCAGGGGTCCGCAACCCCCGGGCCACGGACTGGTATGAGAATCTAATGATGAATGTTATGTATTTGAATCATCTTAAAACCATCCCCCCACCCTGCCATCTATGGAAAAATTGCCTTCCATGAAACTGGTCCCTAGTGCCATAAAGGCTGAGGACTACTGCATTACAGCACAGCAGTAAGAGGGTGACTTCTGGAGTCCAGATGCTTACATTTAAACCCCTCTTCTGTCACATAAATCCGAATGTCCTTGGATAGGTTACATAACCACTTTTCTGTTTTCTCGCCTATCAAATGAGGAAAATAATAGTACCTACTTTGTAGGGGCATTATCAATGACTTTTTTTTTTTGAGACAGAGACTCGCTCTGTCACCCAGGCTGGAGTGCAGTGGCACAATCTCAACTCACTGCAACCTCCACCTCCCAGGTTCAAGCGATTCTCATGTCTCAGCCTCCCAAGCAGCTGGGACTACAGGCACACGCCACCATGCCTGGCTAATTTTGTTTTTTGTTTTTTGTTTTTTTTTTTTTTTGAGACAGTTTCAGCCTTGTTCCCCAGGCTGGAGTGCAATGGCCCAATGTCTCATGCCTGTAATCCCAGCACTTTGTTATTTTATTTTATTTTTTTGAGATGGAGTCTCCCACTGTCACCAGGCTGAAGTGCAGTGGCACAATCTCAGCTTACTGCAACCTCCACGTCCCAGGTTCAAGCGATTCTCCTGCCTCAGCCTCCCAAGTAGCTGGGACTACAGGTGCACGCCACCACGCCTGGCTAATTTTTGTATTTTTAGTAGACACGGGGTTTCACCATGTTGGCCAGGATGGTCTCGATCTCTTGACCTCGTAATCCGCCTGCCTCGGCCTCCCAAAGTGCTGGGATTATAGGCATGGGCCACCACACCTGGCCCAATCCCAGCACTTTGGAAGGCCAAGGCAGGTGGATCACTTGAGGCCAGGAGTTTGAGACCAGCCTGACCAACACGGTGAAACCTTATCTTTACTAAAAATGCAAAAACAAGCTGGGTTTGGTGGCGCGCACCTGTAATCCCAGCTACTCGGGTGGCTTAGGCATGAGAATCTCTTGAACCTGGGAGGCGGAGGTTGCAGTGAGTCGAGATCACACCACTGCATTACAGCATGTGCAACAGAGTGGGACTCCATCTCAAAAAAGATAAAAAAGAAAAAGAAAATATTTAAGTAATAATGGCTGAGAATTTTCCGAATTAATGACAAGCACCAAACCATAGATCCAGGACACTCAGAAAACTCCAAGCAGGATACATACCAAAAAACCCTACACTTAGGGTTTACACCATGCCCAGCTAATACTTAGGTATCATCATATTCAAACTGCAGAAAATCAAAGACAAAGAGAAAATCTTGAAAGAATCCAGAGTGGAAAAAATCCCTCCTTACCTATAAAGGAGTGAGGAGAAGAATTATACCAGGTTTCTCTTCAGAAACCAGCAAGCAAGAAGAGAGTGAAATAAAATATTTAAGTGTTGAAAGAGAAAAATCCACCCACCTAGAATTCTGTACTCAGCAAAATTACTCTTCGAAAATGAAGTAGAAATAAGGACTTTCTCAAGCTGGGTGTGGTGCTATGTGCCTATAGTCCTAGCTACTAGGGAGGCTGAGGTGGGAGGGGCGCTTAAGCCCAGGAGTTCAAGGCTGCAGTGAGCCATGATTGCTCCACTGCACTCCAGCCTGGGTGACGGAGTGAGACCCTGTCTCTAAAAAAAAAAAAAAAAAAAAAAAAAAAAAAAAAAAAAAGACATTCTCAGACAAACCAAAATTGAGGGAATTTGTCACCAGTATACTTGCCTTGCAAAAAATGGTAAAAAGAGTTCTTCAGAGAGAAGAAAAATTATATCAGAAACCTGGATCTACATAAGTGAAGGTAAAATAGAAACTTTTATTATTCTTATTCTTAATCTAACACATAACAATTTGTTCAAAATAAGAATAGTAACAATTTGTTTAGTGATTATAGCTTATGGATACGTAAAATGAATGACAACAATGTCGTAAAAGACAGGAGGGAGAAATTGGGAATACACTGTTAGAAGGTCCTTGTGCTACTGCAGGTACTATTATGAAGTGGTACAGTGTTATTTGAAAGTGGGTTTCGATTAGTTGTAAATGTATATTGCAAATTCTAGGGCAATCCATAAAAATTTTTAAAAAGAAGTATAATTCATATGTTAAGAGAGGACAGAAAATAGACTTATACAAAATGGTCCATTAAAACCACATAAAAATAGAAAAAGAGTAGAATACACAAATAAAAAGTAAGAAAAAGAGCAGCAAATGGAAAACAGAAACTTGGTAGATATTGATCCAACTATATCAATAATTGGTAACTTGGTAGATATTAGTCCAACTATATCAATAATTACTTTAAGTGTGAATGGTCTAAATATACCAATTAAAAGACAGACTGTCAGAGAGGATTAAAAAAAAAAAAGACTAAACTCTATGTTGTTTAGAAATCATGCTGTAGGACAGCACATAAGAATATCCAGTGGGTGGCCTGAATCAGGACAATGGGGTTTCAGTCTGTCTATCCACTAATTAGCTGTGTGAACTTCGAGAAGTCACTGGTATTCTCTGTTTACTCCTCTGTAGAATATGAGAATTTAAGCTAAATCCCTTTAGTTCTCTTCCAGCTCTCAATCCAATGCCTCATTACCATGACTTGATAAGGAAATATGAGCCACGAGGGAGTGGGCTGAAGCATCTAGTAGGTGCTTTTGGTTGGACTGGGTCTGTGAGAGACCCAGATGTAGCCAGCAGAAGCAGATGCATGAGCGTGACAGCACAAATCTGAATCCTGGCTCTTCCTTGTGAAAACTTAACTCTTGGAGAACAGGCATCTCTCACCTGGGTCCATCTTTGACTTGGAGCAAATTATAAGGAAGTTGCAAGCAGTCTTTAGGTTGACTTCACCCTACTGGCAAGGAAGGAGGATAGACCATAGAGGAACTCAGGAGATCTTTGCTGAATACAAGCGTTCAGGTTCAGAGGGGACAGAGGATTTTATAGCTCCTTATCAGGCATTCCTGCCCCATCATCATCTTTTTTTTTTTTTTTTTTTTTTTTTTTTTTGTGAGATGGAGTCTCACTCTGTCGCCCAGGCTGGAGTGCAGTGGTGTGATCTCATCTCACTGCAACCTCTGCCTCCCGAATTCAAGTGATTCTCCTGTCTCAGCCTCTCAAATAGCTGGGACTATAGGCATGCACCACCATGCCCAGCTAATTTTCGTATTTTTAGTAGAGACGGGGTTTTGCCATGTTGGCCAGGCTGCTCTCGAACTCCTGATCTCAGGTGATCCACTCGCCTCGGCCTCCCAAAGTGCTGGGATTACAGGTATGAGCCACCACGCCCAGCCCATCATCATTTTTTTAGACTAAAAGTATCTCCACCTTTCCTACTATTGCCTCTCAGCCCCATACATACATCTTCTATAGAAGAAAAAGAAAAGGAGTTTAAAATGTTTAAGTCTCAACGTTAAGAATACTGTTCTTAATGCTCAAGGTCTTGTTTGTAGCATCTAGCAAAAACCCTGCTGATCCCAAACAGAGACAGCTATGGCATGACTTGTCCATTTTGGCCAATGGCATGACCATTCCGGTGAAGGAGAGAAGAGAGAGAATCTTTGAAACTATCTTTAAAAACCCATGGATTATCAAAGGGAAACTAAATCAATGACTGCATTAAGTCAGGGTTGTAAGTCACCATCCTACACTGGCAGATCATAGCATTTTTTCATTTCCCCAGGTTGTTCTCCTCATAGGGTTAAGTGGTTTAAATAAATTGTTCTAGACACTGACTAGTTCTAGTTCTGTTCTAGTTCTCTCCCACTGACACAGTTCTGCATGTTATGGAAACTGGCCCTAATCTGATCTTAGAGAGGTACCTTCCACCTAGGTCTAAGTGACATTGTTATAAAACCCCAGGTCCATGAAACACTGAAATTTCCACTGGGAAACTTTGGGGATTCTAATATCCTACTAGACAGAAAAGCTCCATGAAGGCGAAGCTTGTGACTCTTTGCTCATTGTTATTCTCACTGTGCCTTCTCAGTGTCTGCCACATAGTAGGTGCTCAATAAGTATTCGTTGAATGAATTTTAAAAATCCACTACAAATGTGGGCCTTGAAAAAGTATGCATAGTTCAAATTTGATGGTTTCTAAAACTACATTTTAAAGCTGTTCATTTATTTTTTTATTTACCTAACAATCATTAATTGTTTTCTATATGACAGACATTAGCATACAGAAACCAATTAAACAATATATCAATTCTCATAAAAGAGAAGGGGAGAACAATATTCACCGATTGCTACTATAAGCTTGGTACTTTTTATTCATTATTTTATCTTCCTAGCAACTCTGTGAGGCAAATATTATTATCCTCCCCTTGCAGATAAAGGAACTGATACTTGCAGAAAGGCTCACATCTAGCAAATGGCAGAGCAAAGAATTTATTCTAGGACCTGGGTACTTCCATCTACAGTGTACTTTCTCCCTAAAATAAATTTAAAATCACAGTCTAATATTCTGTTATGTGGTGTTTTGTTAAGAAAACTTAGGTTTTCAAATTTTGAGTTATAAACAAGTAGTTTCATGAGAAAAAAAATCAGAGTTTTAGGCTTCAGCTACAAGTTATTTATCTTTGAAAAAAAGTCCAATAATAGAAATGTTTTATAACTACATGAGTGTGTCATTGGAGGCTATAAAGAAAGGATTGCTTGAACACAAGAAATGAAAATTATCAAGTTAGGTCCTCAACGTCATCTAAGACCTAAGTCAATTATTATTTTGAAAGCACAACACTGAAATAAGATGGCTGAAGTCAAAATAAAGTGCAGCATAGTTCACACTGCCAGTGGTGAACAAATGAACATGGAACCAGGAAGCTGCCAACTGCTCCCTTATGCTTAATAGCTTATTTCCTAGGACCTCAGTACTAATACCTGATGTGCTTGAATGACAAGCAGTATATATACACACCACCAATTGTGTTTCCTAATTGACCTATTGTGTTATATCCTATTTACCTTATGAAAAGTCAAACTGTGTAAGAGATGCCTAAAATAAGGAAATGAATTCTGAGCTACAAGAGCACTTAGTGAAATATTCCGCATCAGGTTGTCTCGTAGGAGTGGAAGGCCCATGGCAGAGGTGGCCACATGAGCTGTGTGTCTGAGGGCCACAGGGAAGCTCCTGGGTCACCCGTCTCCCTGGACTCTAGAGCACTTTTCGCAATCACCATTCCTTCCCAATGAGTGAAAATGCACGGGGCCCAGAATCATCTACACTCATAATGTGGGCAGAAGTTTTGAAAACAAGTTGTTCTCACTCAGATTAGGAATTGGGAAAACAGAGATCCATGACCAAACCAAAAGTACCCAAGGAAAGTACCCAAGGAGGTGGGGAATGGTCTAGGACTGGGATAGTCTTAAAGAATATGGCCCAATCCTAGTGCAGTGATGACCGTCTCTTACATTTTTATAGCTCCCTGCAGTTTTCATTGATTTTATAACAACCCTGAGAATGAAGTTTTGTTCTTATTTTTACAGATTAAGAAACTGAAGTTGAGGAAGTGATTCACAGCCAGCACCCATCAGAGTAAAATCCCTGCGTCTTCAAACTTCAGATGGAATAGTCTTTCCACCATGACCTCGCAGGGCAACCTCGGGACTAGGTGTTGTAAGAGCAATGACTTGGAGTCAGGCTGGCCTGCATTTGCCTAGCCCTGAATGTACTGCTTTTTAGGCATATGATTTGGGCAGGTTCTTTAACCTCACTGAACCTCATTCTCCTCATCTGTAAAATGGGACACATGTAACATCTAGCTCACAGGGCTACTATGCGGATCAAATACTATATGCATACCAGTGTGCTTATCACAGAACTTGGCCCCTGGTTAGGGCTGGACAAATGTTGAGGCTTTCAGGGTATGTTCACAGCATGGGCTCTGGATAGAGGAGTCTCCTTTCCCCTCAGTAGTTCAGCATGCCTTAGGGCACAAAACCCCCCCAGGGGACATTTTACTGTATCTAAAAGCTACAAAGAGATAAAAACTTGGGACAGACTGGGCGTGCTTGGGGCCTGAACACTGAGTCTAGGACAGGGGTGGAGGGGTGTCAGCCCATCTTTCCCCTCCTCCCATACTGCCATCTGCACTGGGTCTCCCAACACAGAGAGGACCCTCCATCCTCACCTGGAAAGCCATGGAGTTGGCGACAGCCAGAAATATCCTCAGAGGCAGCTTGGCCCGGTAGGACCTGTGGCTCCACAAGCGATGGGCACCAGCTGTCACACCCAGAGCGGCCAGGAGGAAGCAGAAGTAGGCTGCAAGACACAAGCAGGGACAACGTCAACAATGGTCCCTGAGCTTTCAAACACCCCCCATGCTTTTTCTCTCCTGAACAGGGACACACGTGAAATGGTGTCAGGGGGGAAAGCTGCAACATGAAGAATCAATAACTTGAGAGGAGGCAGCCTTTTTATTGATTTGTAGCATCCCAGTACCATGCATAAGCAGAGAACTTTCTTCAGCAAACTTTGACCTTTGAATATCCTTCCCTACAGCAAATCTTTTATTTGCTAATGTTTCTTGCCAGTCTTGATGCAAAGTCACAACCATGTCAATGTACATTTGCAATTCAATTTCACACATACACTCTCGGCAGGGCAGAGATTGAGCTCTACCTCACCTCTTAATTGGCACACATGACAGGGTGAGTGTTATGTGAAGAGCATATTTCTAAGTGGCAGTGCCCATTATTGGTATCAATAAACATATTTAAAGAGAGCACAATATTACATCTTCCAGAAGTGTTTGACTGATCTTGATCTCAATCTATATTTATTTGGTTCTAAAAACAAGATTTACCCTTAACTCTAAGAATAAACGGTCCCTGAATACATGTGGTTTTCATGAACATGACAAATCATTCCTTACTTGAAAGGTTAAAAGCAAAACACAAACAACAATCTGCCCACAAATCACAGAAAGCTGCAGTAAATAAAAAGCTCTGGCCTCCTTTGTTATTGTAATTTAACCTTGGTCATGAGTCCATGAAATGGACAGTCATTTTCCTTGTCATCCCTGGCCTTCTTATCTCTATTAACATTTTTTTTTTCAACTAGCAAGTAGTCAGGGAACAAGTAAAATCTAGAATGGAAAAATTCAATGTGATTCTATTCTGCCAGTAGGCTGGACCTTGGGTGCAATAAAATTAATTCCAAGACTCCATGAAAAACATTGGCTAAAAAAGGATCACTCTAATCCACATTTCCCAGTCAGACCTTTACCACAGACATTGTCTTGTCCTTTTGGGAATCTCCAATAATTTAGGGATCACTTGCATGGTTGTCTGTCTATCCCTATGGCACCAACAGTGGTTCACAGCAGCGCCTGTACTGTGCAGTAGTGGCTGTCGGTTTCCCATGGTCCTTCTAACAACTGGAATTTGGCCATGTGACCTGGCCCTGGCCTAGTATACTGCCCTGTCTTCCCAGACATGAGAATAAACACCTGAGCCAATCCTTTTCCCTCTTCTGGCTCAAAGCCTAAGCTGGGGTTTACCAAAGATTACATATTACCAAGCTGAGAAAACCTGATTACAATAGCAAATCTTGAGGCCAAGAAAGTGAGACATGAAGACAATGAAGATGCCCACAAGAGCTAAACCTGCCTTGAGCCACTGGTTGCTGACCTAGGAGCTCTGTCATTCTTCTTTTGATCCTGGGAGCCTGCACAGTGTGTCCTAGTTACCAGAGCCAACAGACTTCATTTTCTTGCTTAATCTAGCTTGCACTGGATTTCTGACGCTTAAATTCTGCTGAAGCTCTTGGGAGGAAACCAACCCTCTGGTCATGACCCAAATGAGGAAAAACCACAAAAAGCCTGGGCTGAATGTAAGGATTCATGGGCTGTCCCATTAACAGGATTCAGTTTTCCTATTTTGACAGTGCTAATTCTCTGTTCTTAATTTCTCTTCTATGATCCTTGTGGAGACTCATATTCAAACAAGTGTTCAGTTGGATGCTTACTAGCTGCATCTGAGGTAATGAAATATTCAGACAAAGAACTTGTGACTTTGAGGAGATAAAAGGAGTAATGGGTAATGCCAAATACTTTACCAAGTAGCTCATACCTCACAGAGAAAGGTGCTAAATCAATAGAAACCAGAATCACAAAATGACAGAATTATAAGCAACAAACAAGTATGGCAGTCTGGATGCAAACAAGAGTCATTGATTCTGGTTAGCTCAAGCCAAAAACAAAAACAAAAGCAGGAATTAAAAAATATATGGAGCAGCCTAGAGAACTCACGGACGGTCCTGCAGGACAGGCTACTATGCCACCTCCAAGATGGTCCATGTGCTCCCCACCTTCTGGCATGCATGGCCTTGTGTAGTCTCTTCCCTATTAGTAACTTGCTTCTAACCAAGAGAATATAGCAATATTGAGGGAATATCAGTTCCATGATTAGTTTACAAAAGATTGTGACTTCTGTTTTGCTAGCAGATTCTCTCTTGAGCTGGCTTTGATAAAGCAAGCTGCCATGTTGGGGAGGCCCATGTGGCAAAGAATTGAGGATTCCTCCAGCCAACAGCCAGTAAGGAAATGAGGCCCCCAGTCCAACAGCCCTCAAGGAACCAAATCCTACCAACAACTACATGAGTGAGCTTGGAAGCAGATCCTTCCTCAGTTGAGCCTTCAGGCAAGATTGTAGCCCTGACCAACACACTGCAGCCCCGTGGGAGATCTTGGGGCAGAGGATCCAGCTAAGCTGTACCTGGACTCCTGTCCCACAAAAACTGTAAGAAAATAAATATGTTTTGTTTTACACTACTAAATTGGGGGTAATTTGTTATGCAACAATAGATAACTTGAATACAAAACATAAGCAGGAACCTTTCATTCATGGAAGGAAGGTACATCTTAAATCCTGATTGTAGAATAGTTTATCATCTATAGGGAAAGTAAACAGGCTGGTGTTGCATGGGGTAGGGGGTGGAGGAAAGGGGAAGAAGGCAGTGGCTGCTAATGGGTTCTATGAATAAAAATGTTTTAAAATGTATTTTAGGGCCAGTTGCACAATTCTGCAAATATACTAAAAACAAATGACTTGTATACATTAAATAGGTGAGTTGTACAGTATGAGTTATAGCTCAAAAATCCATTATTTAAAGAAACAATTACTGAATTCCCATTGGATTTTGTTATTATATATATTTTCTTACTGTAAAATAAAATAGACCCGTCCCAAAACAGAACAAAGCAATCAAAAACCAACCATTGGCCTAGGATGCTCCCACAGGCATCACCACCCCTAGATACTTGCCACCACCAGACATGTGTCATAACTTGGACCCTTGAATCTTCCACAGAGGTCAAGAAGAGCCTCTGTTTGACCCTACACCTATGCCTGAAGCTATCAAGACCACCCAGGATTCCAAGGCAGAAGTACCTTGTTGCCCATGCTTGCACCACAAGCCCAAGATCTAGCAGCCAGGGATGGGAAGAGACAGAGTCCAGAGCTCCTTTGGCTTCTGTGTGGAAGGCACAACCTCCTATCTGTCCTGATTTCCCTATTTGGTACATTGTTTTGATAATGACTGTAGTGACCCCCTCCTGACTATATGACAGAGAACAGTCCTAGAGGAATGTTAAAAAGCAAAAGTTAAAACTCCCTTAATCCTGGACCTGATCAGAGAAAGAGATGGACAGCCCCCTTCAAGAGCCATCCCTGAGTGCTCGACAGAAGGAAGCACTTGGCCGAGCTCTCTAACCCTCGCTTATAATCTGTATCTCTATAGCATCAGAGTGAACATTAATAAATAATATTGACTGAGAGCTTTCTATGTGCCAGGCCCTCTTTAAGTACTTTATACATAGTAACTCATTTAATACTCACCACAAGTGTAGGGGGTAGGTGCCATTATGATCTCCATCTTACAGATGAAGAAAACTTGACAGTGATAGAGCCAGGGTACAATCTAAGGCAGGAAGAGCCCACATCTAAATGCCCCTGCTGATTGCCTGTGCCCTGGAAGCAGAGTTCATTCTAGCAGGAGGAACTTGAATGAATCAGGTCCTTTTAGCCAGCTCAAAACAAAAGCTGAAAGTCAAAATTCTGGTTTTCCTTAATGCCCTTCCAAGTTACTCCCTTGCCTGTAATACCT